>NC_000001.11:210457314-210608829 GCF_000001405.40 Homo sapiens | reverse complement strand
AACAAGATGCCATCTTGGAGGGAGAGACTGGGCCCTCACCAGACACTTAAATGGCCAGTGTCTTGATCTTTGACTCCCAGCCTCCAGGACTCTAGGAAATAAATTTCTGTTCTTCATAAATTACCCTGTCTCAGGTATTTCATTACAGCAGCACAAATGGACTAAGACAATGTTAACTCTACTCAAATCATACTACAATTAAATGCACATCTAAAAAATTCCAATAATAATACCAAACAGAGTTTTGGGGAACTTCACCAGTTCTAAGATTCAGACAGAAGAGTCAACAGGCAAAACTAGCCAATGCAATTCTGAAAAAATGCCAGAAAAGGTAGGGGCTTTCCCTAGCAGAAATCAGGACACAATTTAAAACTCTAGTATTTAAAACTGGAATAATCAACTAGATCAACGCAACAGAATAGATAGCCAAAAAATGAATCCAAGTCTATTTTGATACTTACTATATATTAAAGGTGATCTTTTAAATAACTGAGGAAAGCACAGAGTATTCAATAATACAATTTTAAAATGTAAAAATGATTCATAACTGCAGGCCATACAAAAACAATCAGTTGACCAAATCTGGCTCATGGACCTTAGTTTGCCAACTCCTCTATCCTATTTTGTTCTTGGTAACTGCCCTAAAGAACCACGTACACACATGTACGAGGAATCTCGAAATGGAGTCTTCACTGCAGATGCATTATTTGCAAGAGAAAAAAATAGAAGCAACCTGAATTTTCAACAGGAGAATGGCTAAATTATATATCCATACCATCCATATCATTCCTGATTACACAGATCTGCATATACTATCATAGGATCATCTTCACAACATATCAGTGAGGGTGAAAAGAAGTGCAAATTTTAGAATATTTCTTAAACCACACAAACACAAAGCAGCAAAGGTATGGGAGACTACATTCGAACTGATAATAATGGTTACCTCTTGGGGAGGAAAATGAGCAGGGTGTGGTTGTTAGGGGGTGGGTATCCCAGAGGACTTTCAGCCTCATCTCTCTCTCTCTATTTTTTTTAAGGCATATGGTCGTGAATGACTTCATTAAGTTAAAAAGAAGTAACGGGGAAAAAAAAAAAGAAAAGAAAACCTAGGAATCTTTCCACTAAATGACCCTAGACCCTGGCCATCTCCCTTGAGCATAAAGAGTCAAGGCACATGGGTGGGAAGATGAAAGTCTGTCGACCATCACACCCAAGTGATAGCTGCTCATGGTACTGGGGGCCTCCCTCTCCAGGCTACACTTAGATCCCTTGGGACTACTGAATAAGCCTAGGATGTGACAGCTGTGGCCTCAGCTATATTCTGTTCAACCACAAAAACAACAGCTTAAAGCAAGGCCTCCTTTTTAAGTAACCTTAATATTTTAAAATCTAAGAATGATTCACCAAGTGATAGGAAACAAAACTCCTCTAGCGATATCCAATTAAACAACATAAACATCTCTGATGCCTTCACAAGACTCATTAAAATGCAAGTAAACATTTGAAAAGGATACACATTCACAGATAAAAAATGAAGAGCAGGGTGAGCAAAGTCAACCCATTTTAATAAGATAGAGCAGATTAAAGAATTAGCAGATTTGAGATACCCAAATACTAGATGCTAAAGAGATGAAAGCCATTTATACACCAAATAACCATAAGGCCCAGGCATAGAGGCACCAGGTAGCACAGATAGCAAGAGTAACCCATGAAGAAGAAAAAAACAGGAAGATTAGTTAAAAATCTGGGTAATAAACATATAGAGCACGAGGTTTCCCTCTTCCTTCTTCACCCCCAGGATAAAAGTTCTTTCACAGATAAATTGCATCAAAGAGAATTTAAAGGCAGGGACAATGGGCACAGTAAAATTTTAGATATATACCGAAGATGTTCGCAGTAATGCTTCCAGAGCAAAAAACAGAATGCATACAATAATGAAAATGGCATTTCTCAACAGAAAAGCTAAAAGCTAAAAGACAGATAATATCTTCAAAATTCTTAGGACAAATTACTTTTCAACCTGAGATCCAGTGCCTAATCAATCAAGTGTGAGAGTAAAAATAAGACATTTTTGAAAATACAAGATCTCAAAAAACTATCTCCTATGGCCTTTTTCTTAAAAAGCTACTAAAGGATGTCCTCCACCAAATCAAGGGAGAAAAAGAAAAAACAAGACCCAGCACAAAGAAACAGGGATTTGTTAAAGGAGAGAGGAGAAGGGAAGCATCAGTGCAACAGCTAAACAGAGCATCTAAAGAGCAGTGAGTCAGGTAGGAAAAGAGGATGGAAGGGCTTCAAGAGAGATTCTCCAGGAAAGGAAGAGAATAGACAGATGAGCAGATACCTCTGACCATGTGGAAAATTCTATCTGAGAGATTTTCTAGTTCTATTGGAGAATCTGGGAAGAAGGAGGGACAGTAAACTAATGAAAGAAAAAAATGGCAAGGCAATTCTTCACTTAAGTGGAGGAAACAGTTGTGTAAGAAAGGAAATGTACTTATATTAAACAGTTTGGCAGTGAGCCACACTTACCATGGTGTGCTGAGTGCTGAATTAACAAAAAAAAATGAAGTTATTATATTAGGAGGAAAAATAGGGAGTAGGTCTAAGATGCTAACATTTCATAAAGAAAGCAGTTAATAGTTACAATTCATAAATGAAGAAATAGGCTGGGTGTGGTGGCTCATGCCTGTAATACCAGCACTTTGGGAGGCCAAGGCAGATGGACCTGACCTGAGGTCAGGAGTTCGAGACCAGCCTGGCCAACATAGTGAAATTCCATCTCTACTAAAAATAAAAAAAAATTAGCCAGGTGTGGTGGCACATACCTGTAGTCCCGCTACTCAGGAGGCTGAGGCAGGAGAATCGCTTGAACCTGGGAGGTGGAGGTTGCAGTGAGCCAAGATCAAGCCACTGCACTCCAGCCTGGGCAACAAGAGCAAAACTCTGCCTCAAAAGAGGAAAAAAAAAAACATAAATGAAGAAATTAATAAAATTAGTGTACACTTTGGAAAGAAGTAAAAATCACAAACAACTAAGAGAACTGAACATTACTGTTGCTGGGGAAAGGGACCCAAGAATGGGATGAATGGAGGCTGCTTGTTTGCTTATTTATTTACTTATTGCATTCATACTTGATGTGTGAGCCATGGACGTATCTTACTTAAACTTTCAGGTTTCAGTTTTTCTCCTGGTAAAATGGGAATAATGATAATACACGCCTATAAGGCTACTGTTAACATCACATGAGATAATGTGGTAAAATTCCTTCTGTGAACATTCCCTTTTTAGTCGGACCAATTTTTCAGAGTAGTTATTTAATAAACAGGTTGAGAGGAGACACAATCGAAACCCATGTTGTCCAAGTACTGAGGGCTGGAATATTAATCAATCCAATGCCCAGTATGCATAAGCAGCAAAGAGACATGAAGTGAATGGGGTGATCTAAGTAGGAGGGGTTTATCAAAAAGAAGATTCTTCTAGTCTGAAATCCAGGAAGCTTAGATCATGTATAACTGGGTTTGACTCCCTCCCTCATTTAACTAACTGTGTTCTGAGATAAATTATTTACCTTCCCCAGTCTCCCGTTTCCCTATCTGTAACATCTGTAACACTGGAGGTAGTAACACCTACCCTGGAGGTTTGCTACAGTGGTTACATCAAATAACAAATGTGAAAGATTCTTGTACAGTATCTGGTACCATTTCCTCTTTGGCAAAGGGTGGCAACTACAACAGCCCTAGTTTGTTCTGGAGAATGACACCTCTATCTTTCAATTTCTTTGTTGTTGTTGTTGTTGTTGTTGTTGTTGTTGAGTCTTGCCCAGGCTGGAGCACAATAGCTATTTGCCAAGTACAATCACAGCGTGCTATAGCACAGAACTCCTGGCCTCAAGCGATCTTCTGCCTCAGTCTCCTGAGTAGCTGGGACTACAGGCACATGCTATCACAACAGGCTGATTTTTATTTGTTTTTGTAGCAAGGAGGTCTCACTGTGTTTCCCAGGCTGGTGTCGAACTCCTGGCCTCAAAGGATTCTCCCACCTTGGCCCCTCAAAGTGTTGGGATTATAGGTATGAGCCACTACATCCAACTTTCAATTTTTAACATAAATCAAGCATCCAGGATCAGCTAATCAAAACCTCCCTAGGGTGAATCCGTCCTGCTCACCTCTCTCTCAATAATTTTTAGTTAGACAACAGTATACATTTACTGTAGCAAAAGTTGAAAATATAAATAAGCAAAAATAAGAGACTATGTATCACAAATAATACCACCAGTAAGAGTTAACCACCACAATTATTTTAGTATATAACCTTTCACATACTTTTCTGTGTATGTGTATTTTTAAATAAAATAAGGTTTTATTAAATCTATCATTCTTTGGTGATCATTTAAAACTAATATGTCAAGAACATATTCCCTCTCAATAAAACTATTTTAGGCTGGGCGCAGTGACTCAGGCCTGTAATCCCAGCACTTTGGGAGGCCGAAGTGGGCAGGTCATGAGGTCAGGAGATCGAGACCATCCTGGCTAACATGGTGAAACCCTGTCTCTACTAAAAATACAAAAAAAAAAAAAATAGCTGGGCTTGGTGGCATGCACCTGTAGTCCCAACTACTCGAGAGGCTGAAGCAGAAGCTTCACTTGAACCTGGGAGGTGGAGGTTGCAGTGAGCCTAGATTGCACCACTGCACTCCAGGCTAGTGAGACTCTGTCTCAAAACAAAACAAAACAAAACAAAAAAACTATCTTAACATCACTGTTAATAGCTGCAGTCAGTTTGATGGATGAACTTCACCTTTTATATTATACCCTTGCTTCCCACCCTTCCGCAGACAGTCAGTGTCTGTTCCAGCAATTACTCCAGCCTATTAGGTAAACTACAAGTTTGACACCAGAAGAAAAAGCAAGATCCAACTTAAATTGTGTTTCAATACATGTCAGTAATCACAAGTATATTGATACCAACCCAGCTTATCTCTAACAAGGCCAGCAGCTGCTCGAAAGGCTTTTTAAAGCAGAGTTTATTTCTAGGTCTTGGAAGGAATGTGAGATACTTTAGAAGAATTTTATTTTGGAAGTCCTGCACATCTCTGCCTTAGATCTTTAAAAATCAGTACATAGGCATGCACACACACACGTTGCACACATATAGTCACAGCATATGTACATATATAAATACACATTGTAAAAATATATTGCAGTGAGTATGTGCATATTATTTTAGGAAGAAACAAGGGGGCTATTTTTCTTTCCATCAGTAACAGGAACACTGGAAATTCAAGCTTTGTCACCTCCAGTGGGTAATTTGGATTTAGGGGAGAAAAAGATACCCAGAATTGGAAAGACACAGCCAAATCTTCAACATATACATACTAAGATTATTTATTTTTCCCAAGTTCATCTATGGAAAGCTGCTAGGCACTAGACTGAGATTAGAGCAACCACCATTCATCTGTGCTGCAGAAACAGAGACCAGAGACTCACAGATAAAGAATCAAACTCCACAAACCACCGAGAAAAGCCAGTTTCAACCATTTACATTCACACTATGGATCTCATCTTTGGCTCAGTACTCGTTCCTGAGATTATGGTTTCTCAGGTGAGAGTTTGCATTAAGCAGGGAGAAGGTATAAGAATGCCATGATAGCAGCCGATGATTGGAGCAGGACACCCGTCTTACTCCAGAAGAAACTGAGCAGCCGAGCAAAGGCAGCAGAAGGCCAAGCACTGGCCAGTCCTGGCGCTCATCAGTCCAGGAATAACTGAAAATGGGTTCTATTTCAAAGCCTTCTATCTGTCAGATAGCCGACTCAGTCATGGAAAGTTAAAAAGAACCCTTGAAAATGCTTTCGCCATACTAAACATATTTGAACTAACATGGAATTATTTTCAGAATTCTACCTCTTAGACCAGAGAGGTTAAGATTCAGGCTTCCAATTCCCACAGAGAAGAAAATGTGTAACCAGCGAATTGCATAGTGTGTTTCCTGCATTGCTAATGATCCTTAGGAGTGGGAGACAATGCTGTGGGGGTGCCAATGGGTCGTAATCCACCAAGGAACACACCGTTCATAACAACACGCATTGCTTTTTTCCAGACCCAGAGGCCCGGGTGAGCACTAATAAGCTGGCACAACAGGCTAATTTGATGTGTGGGATTAATATGTTAATTTAACGCTCTCCTGTTTGGTTAAGTGGTTTCTGTTCCTAAATTTCTAAGCATGGCATTCAAATCCCTTTCTATGGGAACCATGTGGCCTCTCTAACCGCCCTTCTTCCATTTGTCTTGGCAGCCTCGTGACCTGGATACAGAATGCCCATGCCTGACTTCAGGTAGCGCACGCACTGTTCTCCCAGCCTGCAATGCTAGTCTTCTTCTCCCTCCTGACCCTAGCCAAATCCTACTGTTGATTCTCCAGTGTGCTATTCAAGCCTTGGCTCTTTAATGAACCTTTCCCAAAAGCTTAGCTCACACTGACCACCATGAACATCAGGGGCCTCTGTGCCTCATTCTGGCCACTCGCACGTAATGCTTTACAGTGGTCCTCAACTGGTCTGTGCACATCTCACCTCTCCATCTGGATCATAAGCCCCTAGTGGGCAGGGATGAACTCTCACAGCTTTCTTTTCTCACTGCCAGCACTCTCATTTTACTCGACCCCTGAGTAGCATCACCACCGTGGACCACTTCCTCTCCATGAAATCTCCCCTCTTCTTGGTTTCTGTGAAATCACCCTCTAGATTTTCCTCCTCCTCAGCTCCCCCTCGATCCAACTTCTCAATATTGGTGTTCCTTGGCTGCCTTTTCTTCTCTTTGCATGCGTGTGTGCACACATACACACACACACACACTCTCACACACATACTCTCTCTCTCTCTCTCTCTGAGTCTCAAATATTCTCATGGCTCCAAAATATCATCTATATGGTCCCAAATTTCTATCTCTAGCCTGGGCCTTTCTTCTAAGCAATGCCTGGGAAGACTAGGTCAATCAGTATTTTATTATGTTTATAAAGGCAAGTTCATTTGTCTTATAGATCTCTTAGCTCTTCATAGAGAGAAGCTCCCATTTCATGGTTTTATTATGTCTTTAATCCAAAGCAGTCATCATAATATGAGTACTCTGATAGGAGGCCAGGCAAGACACCTTCATTCATGGCAGGGATCATGTCTTATTCAGTTTAGAGTCCTTCAGTAATGTGCAAAGTGTCTTCTACATAAGGTGCTGAGAATTTTTTTCCTAAATGAGTAAGTTAAGAAATGAATAGCCACGTTGACTATGCCTAAGTGGGCTCTGTCGAGAAAGGGTACCATTTTCTGGAGAAAATGGCTTATGTCCAGTAAGTGCTTGATTTCAATTTGTTGAAAGAAATCCAAATGGAGGAGGAATAGAAGGCCATGAGCCATTACCAAATGCCACAGCTCTTCTCAAATTTGCTTTATACTCCCTCAGAGGCTTAGTTGGGGCTTGGACTACTGACCCCTAACGAAAAGGTTTTCTAATCAGGCCAACTAGATATGTATGTCTTGCCAAGCGGTGAGTTAGGATTCCATAGAATCAAATAACCATAGTTTGGATCACGTTGATCAATTTACAATCAACAATACTTTTAAATTGGTTGATTTCTTAAACCCAATTTGGAATTCTCTATCTTCAAAATCAAACTAATCAACATGGCCAATACATTGAATTACCACCACCACAGAGTCTTTGGGTTCTCTCTGATGCCCCAGAACATCAAATCCCTGCCATGACCATCAGACTGATTCTCGGTGGTTTTCACTGGAGGCATGTTTCCTCAATTAAGTGTATAAATAGAAATTTTACTGCTTCAGAAAGGATATAAATCAGCTCAGCAGGACACTCTTGGGGCAAAGAGGCGGAGGCCAGGCTGGGAGAGGAGAACGTATTTAAATTATTCAATGAAATGGAAATCAGGGGTGGGAGTAGGTGAACTATTTGAGATATAGACTCTTCTTTGGGTAGGAATAATCGACAAGCAGCCTGAAGGAGCCTTCCTTCAAAGGAGAGATCAAACTGAGAATTGGCATGAAGTGGTGTCACTTCAAAATGTTTCCTCTGATTAAAATATTTCAATGCTAAACAGAAATCCTCACTCCCTGGAGAGTACTTGTACAGAGAAAAAGCACAGTGCTCCAGCAGTAACTCCTCTACGTCCACCCAGCTTGGGTGCTTTGTGAAAATGCCTTTTGTTAGCTTCCTACAGCTCTGTGCCTCAGTGAGTCACAACCAACAATCCCTCCTCTCATAAAGCAGCAGGCTACCAGGAAGACTAATTCCTCCTTACCCCATTCTTTCCTGTATATGTATTTTGTGCACTGAGCATTATAACAGCATTTTGCCATCACTAGACCTATTTGTATCTATGCTGCTGCTTAGTAAGATAGTCCCCCAATACTCAATAACTCTCAGTTTTAGTTTTTTTCGGTATTCAATCTATATTCTTCATGTTGCTGCCTAAGTCTATTTCATCTTAAACTCCCTCAGTGAGTGAAGTCAGAAAATATCATTCATTCTTTCTTTTATTCAAAAAGGCACTGTGCCAGGAATTGGGATAAGGGTCAAGAATACAGTATTTCTGACCTTATGAGGCTTACAGTTCAGCGAGGGAATAAATTATGTCAAAAATTTCATTTCAACTGTGATAAATATAGCAGAAGAGAACATATACAAGGTACCCAAAATAAATTATCAAATGGGATCTAATTGAGTTAGGAGGGCCAGTGAAGGGTTTCCAAACTAGATATCATTTGAGCTGAAATCTGAAGGATGAATAGGGGTGGAGGGGAAGGAAAGAGAGCATCCTAGGAGATGGAAGTACCTGTGTTGGGGAGCTGAGGCTAGAGGGATCAGGTATGTAATGAACAGAAAGAAGAACAGAGAGGTGAGGGGGGAGGAGTGGGAAGAGGCAGTAAGTGAAAGATCAGATAGGGTGTCATAGGTCATCTTAAATGTTGTGGACCTGGTTCTAAGACAATGGGAGTCACTATAGGATTTAAAAGACAGCAACATGGTTAGGTTTTTATGGAGAAATATCACTCAGGACTATGAGGATAATAAATGGAAGGGGGAGGAAGTGGAAGCAAGGGATTACCTAGAAGCTATTTGGTAGACCAGGAAAGAAATGAGAGCAGCTTGGATTAGGATTTCAGTAGAAATAGAAACAAACAAAAAAATTCGAGATCTACTTAGGAGGTAGAATGTACAGTATATGCAGATCAATCTGAGGGGGAGAGAGGTACAAAGGATAACATAATGGCTTTAGCCTTGAGTAGCTAGATAGATGGTGGTGTCATTTGGGGAAAGAGAGTATGCTGGAATTACTGGGAGGCAGGGGGTCACGAGCTCCATATTACACGTGCAAAGTCTGAGAAACCTGGTAGATTTCCAAGTCAAGAGGTTCAGCAGCCAGTTGTATATATGAGGTGCCAAGGGCATTAATGAAGATCATTCCAAGTAACAGCAGGGTCAGACACACTATATGCCTTTAACCTTTAATGTTTTCTAGAAGTGGGGGTATGTTCTAGAGCTGCACTGTTTAAAATGTTAGCCATTAGCCATATGGGAGATACTGGGATCTAAATTAGTTAAAATTAAATATATTTAAAATCCAGAGTTTAAATAGGCACTAGCCACATTTCAAGTGCTCAGTGGGGCTAGTAGCTACTGTACTGGACAGTGCAATTAACATTTCTGTCACCATAGGAGTTCTATCAGACAACCCTGTTGTAGACGATCAGAGGGCTTCCTATTTACAGCACTCAGCTCTGACAAGTATTTGCGTGAATGTTCAGCTCTCAGTCTACCAACACCAAGAAATAGAATTCTTCTATATTTTGATCCCCAAATAAGGCCTTGGGGTTGAAGATGGAGATATGAAAGAAGTGGGAGGTGAAGCAATATGGCCAAATAGAAGCCTTCACCAATCATTCTCTCTGCAGGAACACCCAATTAAATAACTAGCTACACATAAAAACTCACCTTTATAAGAACCAAAAATTGGATGAGCATCACAGTACCTGGTTTTAACTTTGTATCACTGAAAGTGGCTCTGTAGAGGGTAGGAAAGACAGTCTTAAATTGCAATGCCACCTCTCCTCCATCCTCCAACAGCAGCCACGGGGAGTGACAACTTGTACACTTGGGGGAGAAAGATCACAGTGACTGTGGGACTTGGCACTGGAACTCAGGGCTGCCCTGTCACAGCAGAAAGATGGGCAGAACTCAGCCCAGTGCCTGTGGAGGGGACACTTAGAACAGCCCTAGTCAGAGGGGAAGCATCCATTCCAGTGGTCAGAACTTAGATTCCAGCAACACTTGTCCCCAAGGGCTAAGGGGCTCTAAGGTCATAAATAAACTTGAAAGGCAGTCCAGGCAACAAGGACTAATTCCTGAGCAAGTCCTCATACTTTGCTCAACTTCAAGCCAGTTGATTTTGGGGACACGTGACCTAGTGAGTCACCAGCCAGAGCATCCAAGGGAGTGCTTGCATCACCCGTCCCCCAACCCCAGGCAGCATAGCTCACAGCTCCAAGACAGATTCCTTCCAAACTTCTGCTTGAGAAGAGGAGACAGAAGAGTAAAGACAACTTTGTCTTGCAATTTGGATACGTGCTCAGCCACAGTAAGATAGGGGGCCAGGCAGAGTTTTGAGGCCCCCATCCCAACCCCTACCTCCCAGACATTTCTAGACACACCCTGGGCCAAAAGGGAACCCACTGCTTTGAAGGGAAGGATGCAGTCCTGACAAAATAAATCACCTGTTGACAAAAGAGCCCTTAGGCCCTGAATAATCAACAGTGGTAGCCAGGCAGTGCTTGCTGTGGGCTTTTGGTATGACTCAGAGACTTGCTGGCTTCAGGCATGACATAGCACATTCCCTGTTGTGGTAGCTATGGGGAACTCCTTCTGCTTGAAAAAAGAAGAGGGAAGAGGAAAGAGGACTTTGTTTTGCAGCCAAGGTATCAGCTCACCCACAGTGGAGTAGAGCACCGAGTAGGCTATTGGGGTCCCCAGTTCCAGGTTTTGGCTCAGACATTTCTGTACCTGTCTTGGACTAGAAGGGAGCCTACTGTCCTGAAAGGAAGGACCCAGGCTTGGCAGCATTCATCACAAGCTGAATGAAGAGCCCTTGGACCCTGAATGAACACTGGCAATAGCCAAGCAGTACTTGCCACAAGCCTGGGGTGGTGGTAGCCAAGGGAGAAGACTCCTCTGCTTGTGGAAAGGAGAAGGAAGAGTGGCAGGGACTTTGTATTGCAGCCTGGGTGCCAGCTCAGCTGTAGTAGAATAATGTACCAAGTAGATTCCTAAGGTTTCTGACTCCAGGACCTGGCTCCTGGATGGCATCTTAGGACCCACCCAGGACCAGGAGGAACCCATAACCCTGAAGGGAAGGATACAAGTCTGGCTGCCTTTGCCACCTGCTGATTATAGAACGCTAGGGCCTTGAGCAAACATAGGTGGTAGCCAGGCAGTAGTTATTGTAGGTCATGGGCAAGACCCAGTACTGTGCTAGCTTCAGGTCTGACCCAGTGCAGTCCCAGTAGTGGTGGCCCACAGGAGTTTTTGTGTCACTCCACCTCCAGCTCTAGGCAGTTTAGCACACAGACTCCATTTGTCTGGGAGAAAGTAAGGGAAGAGAACAAGAGTCTTTACCTGACAATCCAGATAATTCTTCTGGATCTTCTCTAAGATAACCAAGATAGTACTTCTATGAGTCTGCAAGACCCACAGTATTACTGGACATGGGGTGCCCCGTAATGCAAATACAGTTAGAGCAACCGAAAACTTAGATCACAATGCCCAAGTCCCTTCAAATACCTGGAAAGCCTTCCCAAGAAGGATAGGCACAAAGAAGCCCAAACTGTGAAGACTACAATAAATACCTAACTCTTCAATGGCCAAATACCAATGCACCATCCACAAGCATGACAACCATCCATGAAAATATGACCTCAGTGAACGAACTAAAGAAGGCACCAGGAGTAAATCACTGAGACACAAAGATATGTGACCTTTCAGGCAGAGAATTCAAAATAGCTACTTTGAGGAAACTAAATGAAGTTCAAGACAAAACAGAGAAGGAATTCAAACTACTATCAGATAAATTTAACAGACACTGAAATAATTAAAAAGAATCAAGCAGGAATTCTGAAGATGAAAAATGCAACTGACATACTGAAGAATGCCTCAGAGTCTCTTAGCAGAACTGATCAAGCAGAAGAAAGAATTAGCACACTTGAAGATGAGCTATATGAAAATACAGTCAGAAGAGACAGAATATAAGAGAATGAAGCATGCCTATAAGATCTAGAAAACAGCCTCGAAAAGGCAAATCTAAGAGTTACTGGCCTTAAAAGGGAGGTAAAGAAAGGAAAAGACAGGGGTAGAACATTTTTCCAAAGAGATAATATCAGAGAACTTCCCCAAACTAGAGAACGATATCAGTATTCAAGTACAGGAAGGTTACTGAACATCAAATAGATTTAACCCACATAAGACTACCTCAAGATAACCAAACTCCCAAAGTCAAGTATTAATTAAGAATCTGAACAAGAAATGGGGAAACGATTCCCTATTTAACAAATGGTGCTGGGAAAACTGGCTAGCCATATGTAGAAAGCTGAAACTGGATCCCTTCCTTACACCTTATAGAAACATTAATTCAAGATGGATTAAAGACTTAAATGTTAGATCTAAAACCATAAAAACCCTAGAAGAAAAACCTAGGCAATACCATTCAGGACATAGGCATGGGCAAGGACTTCATGTCTAAAACACCAAAAGCAATGGCAACAAAAGCCAAAATTGACAAATGGGATCTAATTAAACTCAAGAGCTTCTGCACAGCAAAAGAAACTACCATCAGAGTGATCAGGCAACCTACAGAATGGGAGAAAATTTTTGCAATCTACTCATCTGACAAAGGGCTAGTATCCAGAATCTACAAAGAACTCAAACAAATTTACAAGAAAAAAAAACAAACAACCCCATCAAAAAGTGGGCGAAGGATATGAATAGACACTTCTCAAAAGAAGACATTTATGCAGCCAAAAGACACATGAAAAAATGCTCATCATCACTGGCCATCAGAGAAACGCAAATCAAAACCACAATGAGATACCATCTCACACCAGTTAGAATGGCAATCATTAAAAAGCCAGGAAACAACAGGTGGTGGAGAGGATGTGGAGAAATAGGAACACTTTTACACTGATGGTGGGACTGTAAACTAGTTCAACCATTGTGGAAGTCAGTGTGGCGACTCCTCAGGGATCCAGAACTAGAAATACCATTTGACCCAGCCATCCCATTACTGGGTATATACCCAAAGGATTATAAGTCATGCTGCTATAAAGACAGATGCACATGTATGTTTATTGCGGCACTATTCACAATAGCAAAGACTTGGAACCAACCCAAATGTCCAACAATGATAGACTGGATTAGGAAAATGTGGCACATATACACCATGGAATACTATGCAGCCATAAAAAATGATGAGTTCATGTCCTTTGTAGGGACATGGATGAAGCTGGAAACCATCATTCTCAGCAAACCATCACAAGGACAAAAAACCACACACCGCTTGTTCTCACTCATAGGTGGGAATTGAACAATGAGAACACTTGGACACAGGAAGGGGAACATCACACACTGGGGCCTGTTGTGGGGTGGGGGGAGTGGGGAGGAATAGCATTAGGAGATATACCTAATGCTAAATGATGAGTTAATGCATGCAGCACACCAACATGGCACATGTATACATATGTAAAAAACCTGCACGTTGTGCACATGTAACCTAAAACTTAAATAAATTAATTTAAAAAAAAGAATCTGAAAAGCAACGAGAGCAAAGAAACAAATAACATACATTGCAGCTCCAACACATCTGGCAGAAGATTTTTCAATGGAAACCTTACAGTTCAGGGGAGGGTAGCAAGACATAAAGTGCTGAAGGAAAAAAACTTTTATCCTAAAATAGTATATTCAGCAAAAATATCCTTCAAACACGAAGGAGAAATAAAGACTTGCCCAGACAAACAAGCTGAGGAATTTCATCAACACCAGAACAAGAAATGCCAACGGCAGTTCTTCAATCTGAAAGAAAAGGATGTTAATAAGGAGTAAGAAATCATCTGAAGGTGCAGAACTCATTGGCAATATCAAGTACACAGGAAAACACAGAATACTATAACAATGTAATTGTGGCCTACAAACTACTCATATATTGAGTAGAAAGACTAAAACACAAACAAATAACAACAACAACTTTTAAAGACATAGATAGTACAATGAGACATAAACAAAAACAACAAAAAGTTAAAAGCAGTGCAAACAAAGTTAAAGTGTAGAGTTTTTATTCGTTTTCTCTTTGCTTATTAATTTGTTTATGCAATTAGTGTTAAGATGTCAGTTTAAAATAATGGGTGATAAGATTATTTGCAAGCCTCGTGGTAATTTCAAATCAAAAAACACACTGCAGATACACAAAAAGCAACAAATTAAAACACACCACCAGAGAAAATCACTTTCACTAAAAGACAGAAAGGAGGGAAAGAAGGAGAAGACCATAAAACAGAAAACAAATAGTAAAATGGCAAGAGGAAGTCCTTATGTATAAATAATAACATTGAATGTAAATAGACTAAACTGTCCAATCAAAAGACAGAGCGGCTGAATAGATTAAAAAACAGGACCCCATAATCTGTGGGCTACAAGAAACACACTTAACCTATAAAGACACATAGACTGAAAGTAAAGAAATGGAAAAAGATATTCCATGCCAATGGAAACCAAAAAAGAACATCAGCAGCTATACTTAAATCAGACAAAATAGATTTCAAGATAAAAACTATAAAAAGAGACAAAGCTACATATCATCATTATATAATGATAAAGGGATCAATTCAGCAAGAAGATATAACAGTTGTAAATAACATATGCAACCAATATTGGAGCACCCACATGTATAAAGCAAATATTATTAGAGCTAAAGAGAGATACCCCAATAACAGCTGAAGAAATTACACACCCTACTTTCAGAATTAGATCATCCAAACAGAAAATCAACAAAGAAACATCAGCTTTAACCAGCAGCACAGGTCAAATGGACCTAATCGACATTTACAGAACATTTCTGTACCAATGGCTGCAGAATACACATTCTTCTCCTCCACGTATGGATCTTTATCAAGGATAGACCATATGTTAGGCCACAAAATAAGTCTTAAAACATTTTTAAAAATGAAATGATATCCACTATCTTCTCTGAACAATGGAATAAAAGCAGAAATCAATAACAAGAGGAATTTTGGAAACTATACGAACACAGGGAAATTAACCAATATGCTCCTGAATGACAGAGGGTCAATGAAGAACTTAAGAAATTGAAAAACTCCTTGAAACAAATGATAATGGATACACAACATGCCAAAACTGATGGGATATAGCAAAAGAAGTACTAAGAGGAAAGTTATAGCTATAGGCACCTACATCAGAAAGGTAGAAAAACTAAAAATAACCTAATGATGCACCTTAAAGAATTAGAAAAGAGCAAAACAAACCCAAAATTAGAACAAAGGAAACGAAGATCAGAGAAGAAATACATAAAATTGAAACAATGAAAATACAAAAATCAATGAAATGAAAAGTTGGTTTTTTCCAAACACCGCATGTTCTCACTTATAGGTGGGAATTGAACAATGAGAACACTTGGATACAGGAAGGGAAACATCACACACCCATGTCTGTCGTGGGGTGGGGGAAGCGGGGAGGGATAGCATTAGGAGATATACCTAATGTAAATGATGAGTTAATGGGTGCAGCACACCAACATGGCACATGTATACATATGTAACAAACCTGCACCTTGTGCATATGCACCCGAGAACTTAAAGTATAATAAAAAAAAAAAAAGAAAAGTTGGTTTTTTGAAAAGATGCATATAATTGACAAGCCTTTAGCCAGACTAAGAGAAAGAAATCAAGAAAGTAATCCCAATTATAATAGCTATGAATAAAATTAAATACCTAGGAATTAACCAAAGAAGTGAAATATCTCCACAATGAAAACTATAAAACACTGATGAAAGAAATCGAAGAGGACACAAAAAATGGAAAGATATTCCATGTTCATGGATTGAAATAATCAATATTGTTAAAACATCCATATTACCTAAAGTAATCTACAGATTCAATGCAATCTCTATCAAAATACTAAGGACATTCTTCACAGAAATTTAAAAAAAAAATCCTAAAACTTATATGGAACCACAAAAGACACAGAATAACCAAAGCTATTCTGAGGAAAAATTACAAAACTGGAGGAATCACATTACTTAACTTCAAAATATACGACAAAGCTCTAGTAACCAAAATAGTACAGTATTGGGCAAAAACAGACACACAGATCAGTGGAACAGAATAGAGAACCCAGGAACAAATCCACACATCAACAGTGAACTCATTTTCAACAAAAGTGCCAAGAACATACACTGGGGGAAAGACAATCTCTTCAAAAAATGGTGCTGGGAAAACTGGATATCCATATAAAGAAGAATGAAACTAGACCCCTATCTCTCACCATATTAAAAAAAATCAAATCAAAATGAACTACAGACTTAAATTAAGGTCTCACAATATGAAACTACTGAAAGAAAACACTGGAGAAACTTGCCAGGACACTGGAGTTAGCAAATAATTCTTTAGTAATACCCCATAGGCACAGGCAACCAAGCAAAAATAGACAAATGGGATCACATCAAGTTAAAAGTTTTTTGCACAGTAAAGGAAACAATCAACAAAGTGAAGAGACAACCCACAGAATGGGAGAAAATATCTGTCAGCTGTCCATCTGACAAGGTATTAATAACCAGGATATATAAGGAGCTCAAACAACTCTACGGGGAAAAAACCTAATAATCTGATTAAGAAATGGGCAAAGATCTGAATAGACATTTCTAAAAAGATGACATATGAATGGCAAACAGGTATATGAAAAAGTGCTCAACACTAAAGTCAGAAAAATTCAAATCAAAACTACAATAAGATATTATCTGTCCCCAGTTAAAATGGCTTTTACCTAAAAAGCTGGTAAGGATGTGGAGAAAAGGGCATCATTGTACACTGTTGGTGGGAATGTAAATTAGTACAAGACCACGGTATGGAAAACAGTTCACAGGTTCCTCAAAAAACTAAAAACAGAATTATCATATGATTCAGCAGTCCTATGGCTTGGGATATACTCAAAAGAAAGGAAATCGGTAAATTAAGGAGATATTTGCACTCCCATGTTTACTGTAGTACTATTCACAATAGCCAAGATTTGGAAGCAACCTGAGTGTCCATCAAAAGACAAATAAAGACAATGTGGTACATATACACAATGGAGTATTATTCAGCCATAAAAAAGGATGAGGGCCTATCTTTTGCAACAACATGGATGGAACTGGAAGTAATTAAGGGAAATAAGCCAGACACAGAAGACAAACTTCACCTGTTCTCACTTGTTTGTGGGAGTTAAAAATTAAAACAACTGAACTTGTGGAGACAGAGAGTAAAAGGATGATGACCAGAGGCTTGGAAGGGTAGTTGGGGGGAATGATGGTTAATGAGCACAAAAATATAGCTATATAGAATAAGATGTAGTATTTGGTAGCACAACAAGGTGACTGCAGTCAACAATTATTACATATTTAAAACTGACTGGAAGAGTATAATTGGATTGGTTGTAACGCAAAGAAAGGATAGATGCTTGAGATGATGGATACCCCATTTACCCCCATGTGATAATTAAACATTGCATGCCTGTATCAAAATATCTCATGTACCCCATAAATACAAACAACTACTATGTACCCACAAACATTTTTTGTAAAGAAGATATGACAAAGAAAAAATAATTTTTGTTATTTAGAGATCTGCTAATCTATCTTAATAAAACAGATGAAGGATATACACCATGAAGAAAGGGTGTGATGGTTAATTTTATTTGTAAACCTGACTGGGCCCAAATATTCACTTAAGTATTATTCATGGGTGTTCTGGTGAAGGCGTTTCTGGATGAGATTAACATTTGAATCAGTAGACTGAATAAAGCAGATTTCCCTCCCTAATGTGAGCGGGCCTCATCCAATCTGTTGAAGTTCTGAATAGAATAGAAAGCTAACACAATATTTTTTTCTGTCTTCAAGCCTGACTGTCTTTGAGCTAGGACACTGGTCTTCTGTTGCCTTTTTTTTTTTTTTTTTTTTTTGGACTGGAACTTACACCATCAGCTCTCCTGGGTCTGAATTTCTCAGCCTACAAAATCACATGGTCTAATTCTGTATACTAAATTTCTTTACCGTCATCCCTATCCCCCTACCAAAATACACACACATCCTATTGATCTGTTTCTCTGGAGAACTCTGAATACTACTGAGGATGTGAGGGGCATGCATAATTAACTCACAAAGCCAGTAAGTCTTCATTTGGATTTTGACAGAAGAACAGGAAATTGATTCATGAAAAGAGAGGGAAGAAGGGTAACCTAAGTGGGGAAATAGTTTACTCAAAAAATTGTGTGCATTTGGATGTTGTGTGGAACTACATAAGAAACAGGGTACTGGAGGAAGATTCTATGTCTGGGCAAGTGGAGGAAGAACTAAATAATCAACCTGATATGAAAGCACTAATTGTGCACTGATTTAACACTGAGGCTCACTCAGACAATGGGGATAAACAGAGTAATGGGAACCTGGCCATGTACTCAAGGAGTCCATCGTCTAAATAGCTGTAACTGCCTACCAGGCTTGTAGGTGATAAAAATAAGTTTCATATATTCTTGCTCAATAAATATGCAAGCCAAACATCATACTTGCAACATATAAGACAAATATTTTGCCAAAAAAATGCATATCAAAAATTACTATGTACCAAGGTACCTGAATTGTAGATGGAAGGTCAAGTGAGGTGAATGAGTGAGTCCTGGAGCAAGGTGTGATGGAGCAAGGTAGACAAGCAAGAGCTTCATCCTGTGAGTAAGTGTGCTTGATGCCTTGATTTATTTTGAACCAAAATGAACAGGTCACAGGCTACATGGCACAGTTGGGTTACTCGAATGTTTTAGATTTCTAAAATTATTACTAGCATAAGCTATGGCTCAAAGGCCACAGAGCACTGCTTAACATTAAGTTCAAGGTTAATGTTACTTGCTTCATGAAAGAGCACAGAAATGTGTTGCAGGGCTACAGACTGGGCTGAAAAGAACCTTCTGACTTTCAAAGGTGGTAACTGTGTTTTCAGGCTTTGGAGCAGAATGCTCAGATTTGAGGATGAAGATTAAAATCTTTATGATACCATCCTTTTTGGTTTTCCTGTGTGTTACATAGCCATGGCTTTCACTGAAATAACATTTTCTGTTAGAATCCACTGGCATTTCTTTCCTGCTGATGGCTGGAAAAATATTTATCTTTATACATACATGAGCATATTTAAATCCCCTCCAATGTGTTGTTTGACTACTCGGTTTATTTCAGTTTTTATTGAAATAACTGTCCACTTGTACTATGGCTATCTTTATAAAAACATATGTAAATGTATTCTGTTTTGACAGGGCTTTTTAAAGTGCATTTGCTTTAGTTATTCACACTGGGTGGAATGTAGCCACATTAATCATTTTTCAAATTTTCTGTGTGTGATTGCCTGCCATGAACACTGATGCCAGCACATTTCTTTTTAGCTACTTTTTTCGGGGTTAGAGGAATATTGCTACATCTTCAGAACTGATGATTTCCTACAAGATTGTAATATATCATATATCACATTCGCAAGATAAAAGCTATGCCCATAGTTTAAAATCACTTAAAATATATGTGTAAAGAGAAATGCTTAATTGATTTTCCAAATCATTTTCCTGTAAAGTTGAACTGCTTCTTAAAAACCTTAGCTGTTTTTTATACTACTATATACAATACCTATCAAGGATTTAAAATTCCAGTTATACTCAGTATTAGCAAGGTCATTCTTATGCACCATTGGTAGAAATACAAATTAGTGTACTTTTGTCTACAGGGCAGTTAAGAGTTAATAAGCAATATACATAATGAACATTAAAGATGAGAAAAACCTTGAACCTGGAAATTTCACTTACGAGAATTCATCCTGGTTATGATATTCATCTTAATACAGTTGATAGTTGCAAAAAATCTTTAGAATAATATGATTACTAATAATAGGAGACTAAAATAAATTATGGCATATCCACGTAAGGGAATTCTATGTAGCCATTAAAAAGGGTGGTTAGGTATGGACTCAGTGACTTAAAAAGGTGGTCCCGATACAATCATCTCTCTGTAATAGCATTTGTTTTAATGTTATATACATATGTCTGTTTGTATATACACATGGAAAAAATTTAGAAGAATGGATCTTAACATGGTTTCTGTTGAGAGGTTATTTTCTTGTTTAAATGTTCTAATTTTTACATAATACATTTTTTATAGTTATATATACACACACACACCCATGCACAAACACACATATATGCACTACAGAAGCTTCTTTTCCAGCTGTCTTGCCTCTAGGCATATGGACTTTGAACCAACCTAGTAGAAAGGGCCCATAGTGGGGGCAGGGAATCTGATGGCCCCATCCCTAATAAACCTGATCTGCCTAGTTCCACTGTCCCCTAACACAGCAGCAAGGATCCTGCTCACCAGACTGTCCTGGATGCAGGGAGTCTCCACCAGCCTCCGGACTCCATTCTCCACAGTGACTCCCAGCCAGTTGAGCGCTGCCCAGCACCAGAGGTAGTCGTAGCCGCCATGCCAGTAGCTCACAAATGCAAATGTCATCGCCGTGGAAAACAGTGTCCCCAGCAGGCCATGCTGGGACCCGCCCACTGGAATGTACACATACCTAGAGAAAGAAGAGGCTGTTAGGAGACATACAGAGGGCTGCCCTGCAACTCTATCTGCTCCCCAGCTTGACTATCCTGTCACATACTGCTGTTCACATATGCAGATCCTTCCTCACTTCCAAGAGGCCAGATTCCTTGGATTCTCCATCCCACAAGGAGTTGGCGAAAACCCAAGCCTTAGCTCTGCAGGGTGTTAGGTTAAATGAACACACAGGCTCAAGAGCTCTCATTACTAGAGCAAAATAGCACTTACAAGAGGCAGGGCAAGAAGTCATGAATTTAGAGTTTCTGAAAGGGATGGGCCCAACCCTGGAAATCCAATCACAGAATGGCAGTTAAGCTTCTGGCTACATGAGGCCAGCAACCTTCAAGGCAGGTGATATGGTTTGGCTGTGACCCCACCCAAATCTCATCTTGAATTGTAGCTCCCATAATCCCCACGTGTCATGGGAGGGACCCAGCGCGAGGTAATTGAATCATGGGGGTGGGTTTTTCCTATGCTGTTCTCATGATAGCGAATAAGTCTCACACGAGATCTGATGGTTGTATAAAGGGCAGTTCCCCTGCACATGCTCTCCGGCCTGGCGCCATGTAAGATGTGCCTTTGCTTCTCCTTCACCTTCTGCCATGATTGTGAGGCCTCCCCAGCCATGTGGAAATGTGAATCCATTAAAGTGTTTTTTCTTTATAAATTACCCAATCTTGGGTATTTCTTCATAGCAGTATGAAAATGGACTAATACAGCAAGTGTGGATTTTACAGCTCAAACTATTAAGTTTATGGTAAACCCATTATTTAAATGCAATTGGTAAGATCACGTTCCTAAACAGGCAGGAGCTGGGTGCAGCAGATGGGTGCCAGAGACGGTTCCCCAGCTTTCTAGGCAGGTTGCCCAGAAGCAGTCGTGAATTCACAATAAAGAAAAGAGCTCTGTGCTCACAGGGCAGCCAAAGTACCAGACAAAATGCATAGCTGTCCCCTGGGTATGTTCTCCATTGCTGAGACAGCTGCCTGAGTACGTAGAGACAGTACTATGTTCTTCAATCAGTAATTTCCTGCTTGAGTTGGACAAAACTCACACCTTGAGCTGTTAGGACCTGGAAAGCTAGGAGCATACCCTTCTTGCAATAGCCTTTTTAAAAAGCCCATAGGCCTTTATTGCTGATCAGTGCTTCTTTGTCCAACCTTCCTCCAGGAAGGAAAATGAAAAAATCCTTTTCTGAATACACAGTATGTTCCAAGTACTAGACACTTACATGTACCACTTTGATTCTTTAAAGCACCATATGTATAGTTTATACCTACTGCCCCAGCATTTTAAACAATTTAGCATTTGTCCTGTTTATATATTAATTTAGGGGAGGAGATCAAACTTGTTTTTGAAGAGGAAATAAAATTGTTTTTAGAGAGGAAATTGTTCTATTCAAAATGTTTTCAACAGGACTATTTTATTTTTAGAGATAGCATCTCTAGATGTTACCCAGGCAGGAGTAGAGTGGTGCAGTCACAGCTTACCACAACCTCAAACTCCTGAACTCAGATAATCCTCCCACTTTAGCCCCCCAAGTAACTGGGACTACAGGCATGCACCACCACACCCAGCTAATTTAAAACTTTTTTTGTAGAGATGATATAAAAGTTGCCTAGGCTGGTCTTGAACTCCTAGCCTCAAGTGAACCTCCTGTCTCAGCCTCCCAAGTGCAAGGATTACAGGTATGAGTCACTATACCTGGCTTAATAGAACAACTGTATAGGTAGGCAGGCTAAAAATAAAAACAACTTATCAGGCAATAAATCTTTTAAAAGACTCTATGATAAAACTGTGCCACTGGACAAAGACTCTCTCCTTGACTAAACTTTAGTCAAGCTCCTCTAAGCTCTCTAGGCCTCAACCTTGGTGTCCATCTTTATTGTAGCAAGAATCCTGCTAAGTCAGTTTAGAACGAACCCCCCACCTGCAATATCTGATCATGCTCCATCATCTGGCCAAATTCTTCATCACCTACTCTTGGTGTCTGATCACCCTGGCTGCCTTCAGGAGGAATCCTGTTAGGTCTGTTTAGCCAGAATCCTCCTATTTCCCAATGTTTCCTCTTAATATTCCACTCAATGACCCCCACCTTGCTCCTTGGCTATATCCCCCTTATCCAAGCTGTATTCAGAATTAAGCCTAGTTCTGGCTGGGTGCAGTGGCTCTTGCCTGTAATCCCAGCACTTTGAGAGGCTGAGGCGGGTGGATCACCTGAGGTCAGGAGTTCGAGACCAGCCTGGCTAACATGGCAAAACCCTGTCTCGACCAAAAATACAAAAATCAGCCAGTCATGGTGGTGTGGGCCTGTAGTCCCAGCTACTTGGAAGGCTGAGGCAGAAGAATCATTTGAACCCGGGAGGAGGAGGTGGAGGTTGCAGTGAGCTGAAAACATGCCACTGCACTCCAGCCTGGGTGACAGAGCAAGACTCCGTCTCAAAAAAAAGAGTCCAGTTCCATACTGAGGTCTCTTTTCCCCTATTACAACAGTTCCCAAATAATTTTTTTTTTACTGCTTCAACTACTACCTATCTCTGGTTTTTCTTTAACATCCTCCACTCTCAAATGTGTTCCAGTTTCCAGTTTAGATAATAAATTATTTGATCACCTTAGATAATCCCATTTTATGGGTGAGGAAACTGAGGTTGAGAAATTAATTTGCCCAAGGTACACAGCTGGGAAGGAGAAAGACAAAGATGCAAATCTGCATCTGTACAGCCAACTTACTGCTTCCATTACAACCCTGGGCTAATTTTTAAAGTCCTCTATATTTCACCCCAATCAGGAACAATTAAACTTGAAGGCATGTGAGAATGTAGCAGTTTCAGAAATAAGTAAAGCAAAGCCAATACTTTCCTTTGTGCAAAAACAGGACCATCTTGACAATCAAATTAGCAAATAGGCATCAAGCACTCACTACAGATTAATGGATATTCCACCTGCTGTTGAGCATGTCTTTAGGCCTTCAGGGAATTCCTGGCATTATGGGAAACAGACATGACTTTGTTCTTGCTATAAGGATGGGCAAACCTGCTTGTGAAACAATAGCAAACAATTCCCATCATTAAGCTATGTGACATGGTACAAAGTAGACCACAAAGGTTCCAGAGTGCAGGGGAGAAGGGTGTGAGTGAAGACAGTGGGGCAAAGGAGGCTGAAGGGCGAAGGCTCTCATTCTGACAAGGCCAAGAGGATGAGTTTTGCTAGGCAAAGAGAAGGTTGGGCACTGAGCCAAGGACACAAACGAGGGGTTGGATGACAAGTCAGAAAAGCCTGACAGCCCAGGGCACAGTAGTCTTATCCGGTGTTCTGCTGCCCCCCAGAGGCTGCTTGGTCATTGGTGTAGAATACTCAGCAGAGGCAAAAAATGGGCCACAATTCACTGCCTCCTACCTGCATGGAGGTAACTGCTGGCCCATCATGAGGCTGCCCTTAACTTTACGTAACCAGTGTTGTATGTAAAAATAAAATAGGGTAATCAAACCTATTGCAAAAGGATGAAGAACGACTTCTCTTTAAGGAAACTGTACAGATGGCTGTTTTATAAAACAGATTATCAAATGCTCTCTTCACCCAAGAGAAGAGATTTTTTTTTTAATCTTATCTCACTATATAAAAGTGAGCTGCAGCTGGGGACAGTGGCTCACGCCTGTAATCCCAGCACTTTGGGAAGCCGAGGCTGGGGGGTCACTTGAGGTCAGGAGTTCGAGACCAGCCTGGCCAACGTGGTGAACCCTGTCTCTACTAAAAATACAAAAATTAGCCAGGCGTGGTGGTGCACACCTGTAGTCTCAGCTACTCGGGAGGCTTAGCCCGGGAATTGCTTGAACCTGGGAGGCGGAGGTTGCAGTAAGTACCACTGCCCTCCAGCCTGGGCAACAGAGTGAGACTCCATCACAAAAAAAAAAAAAAAAAAAAAAATTAGCTGCACTGTATATGTCAGAAAACCATAGCACACAAACCTCTCATTCTCCACACCAATGGTACTTGATCTTAGATTCAACTCCAAGGAGGACATGTTTTCAAGCTTGTGATCAGGAAGCATCTAGCCCCAAAATTACATGCCCAGCTATTTTGGGCATCTCCTGGAACCATGGCTGTTACTTTGCCTTCAAAATGACAGCCAACAAAAATCTCTGAAAATTCCTTTTATTCCAGAAATTCATATATGGCAGGTCTCCAAGGACATGAGGCTGTTTGTCTCAAACCAGAAGAGGGTATAGCTTCAAGACTGGAAGATAAAAATCCCTTCTTTATTCCTAATTTATAGAAGACAGTACGTGTGGTAAAAAGGAGAGCAAACAGGTTATTTTCTTTTACAAATTCTACCATCTTCTGTCAGTTCCATGATTAATAAAAACAGAAACATGTCTCTTTTTTTAGAAAAGCAATAGTATGAAACTGCTTACTAAGATTTGCTGCACAATAAATTGATTTCCCAATGGAAGAAAGCAATCAGCACCACCTTCTCAGCAAAGCAAAACTAAAAAGATTGCTTCTCGTCAGTGACTATGTCAGGTTGAGTCTTCACGAAGCCTGCCTCTGCCTGGCCGGCTTCGCGTGGTCACTGCTTACAGAAAATGCTGCAGCCACCTTCTTAATTTAAAAGCATCTCACTGAATCAATGCACCACAGCAAACCCCCAACTCAGGAGGAGGAATCTATATAAATAGTAGACAGTATTGATGACTTCTACCCTTTACTGAGTGCCCATGCACCAGGTGCTTTATGCATACTATTTCTAATCATTAAAACAACCCTCCAAGGAAATAACTAGGCCTATTTTATATAGGAGAGGTAAAATCTGCTCCTAGAATGTTGTAGTTCCAGAAACCCCAGGGCTGGGTGCTTTCACTGATATATTTCTCGTTTAACCAAATCTTCAAAACAGTCTCCACAGAAACATCCACTGATGTTTTATTAACTGAAAAATGTCCTTTCTAGGAAAGAATTCTTGCTCAAGAGAATAATGATTACAATTTACAAAGGGATTTAAGCCAATGAGCTCTGTTAGCCACTGTTCAGTGTCAGAAGACAAGAGGTATAACTTCCGCTTTTGAACAGACTAAGTAGTTGCCCTCTGTCCCACAAGCAGAGATAACACCTGCTATCTCAACTCCCTGACATCCTGCAGACGTCTGCCTGTGTCAGAAGTGGGGCATAAAAAGTTGGTGGCTAGGGTGATGCTGAGTAGAGGTACACAAAGGGAGAAGAAAATATCTAGCTCCCTCATACCTACTATGAAAAACAACACAAATATACGCCCTACAGTGGGAGACAGGGGTGGTAACAATCCATGTGGTAAACGCATTAATCTTAAAATCGCAACACTTCTTTTTTCCAAGGACCTATACAATAGCTCCTTGGCTTGCTACATTATCACCTAACTCTATGACAGACTAATCCCAGACCCCAACAAAGTATGAAGATGAAGCACCAGACACTGACAGACATGGCTTTTACTACGGTTTCCTGCACTGAGCCGAGGTGGGCTTGCTGGTTTCCTGTAATCACTTACCCATTCCTCGGCCGGGCTGGGGCAGGCAGTTGCTGACATCCTACTCTAGCTCCACCTTAACTTTCCACCCTTATTTCCCTTCTCCCCACTTGGCTTTGGTGACAAATCCTAAAATCCTGAATAAAAGAGGATTTGACAGCTCCGTGCCTTTGGTCATACCATTTTCACATCTAGAAGACACTGCTCCATCCTCCCTGATTTTCCAACACCTACTCAGTCTACAAAATCCAGTTGATTTCCCAACTCCAGGAAGTCTCTTTTGCATTTTCCAACTTGCAATTTAACCCAGGAACCTACTGTGTGTACTGTCTGTTCCACTGATTGAACAGCTTTTTACCAAAATGTGTCTATTATGGGTGTCATTTTAACTCAATTGTAAGATTCATTCAGACAGCACTAGATATGTGATGTGTGTATGTGTATGCGTGTGTATGTTACACAGCTACTAGTCAACAGTACTTAAATACGTAACATAATTTCCATTTACTGCTGATAGCCTCGAATAGCTTTTAAACTTGTTAAAAATTGTCACCATTGTCATGGACCCATTATAAGCAACAGAAATGAAAGGATGATTGATTATAAGGTCCTGTACCAGGTACTGGGAGACTTTGGAAGACACCTATTCCTAAAGAATACAGAGCATTGAAAGATGCTGAAGTTTCTCCACACTTTGTAATCCTAATTACCCTACTAAAGTCAAAAGTATGTGTCACCACACCTCTGGAACTACTCCAACCCTAAGAGATTTACCACCCAAAGTAAAAGTACTAGTCCTTTAAAGAACAGAGCCTTTAGTGGCTAGGAAAGGCAAGACTTTTGTCCATGTTACACTGGTGGTGAGGTGACCTCACCTTGGCTCCATCTGGGCCCTGAGACCAGCCCCTGCTCAGGTTTCTCTTCTCTACAGAGCTGGCTGTGCTGTCCTGAGCCCAGCTCTCATGGGCAGTAGCTCCCCTGACCCAACCCTGGCTCTAGCTTTGGCCTTGGCCCACATTTTAGTGTTCTTTCTCACAGCCAGTGATGACCCTCCAGCCAAATCTCCATCTTCTAGGTAGTTCTCAGAAAGGAAGCTACATATCTACTTATAAAAAGTTTTCACAATCTACCCATCTGACAACGGTCTAATACCCAGAATTTACAAGGAACTTAAATGTATTTATAAGAAAAAAACAAATAATCCCATCAAAAAGTGGGAAAAGGATATGAACAGACACTTCTCAAAAGAAGACATTTATGTGACCAATAAACATATGAAAGAAAGCTCAACATCACTCAGCATCAGAGAAATGCAAATCAAAACCACAGTGAGATACCATCTCACACCAGTCAGAATGGTGATTATTAAAAAGTCAGGAAACAATAGATGCTGATGAGGCTGTGGAGAAAGAGGAATGCTTTCACACTATTGGTGGGAATGTAAATTAGTTCAACCATCGTGGAAGATAGTATGGCAATTCTTCGAGGATCTAGAACCAGAAATACCATTTGACCCAGCAATCTCATTACTGGGTATATAACCAAAGGACTATAAATCATTCTACTATAAAGACACATGCACACATATGTTTTTTGCAGCACTATTCACAATAGCAAAGACTTGGAACCAACCCAAATGCCCATCAATGATAGACTGGATGAAGAAAATGTGTGGAATACTATGCAGACATATAAAGGAATGAGATCATGTCCTTTGCAGGGACATGGATGAAGCTGGAAACCATCATCCTCAGCAAACTAACACAGGAACAGAAAACCAAACACCGCATGTTCTCACTCATAAGTGGGAATTGAACAATGAGACACGTGGATACAGACAGGGGAACAACACACACCAGGGCCTGCTGGGGGGTGGGGGGTGGGGGGAGGGAACTTAGAGGACAGGTCAATAGGTGCAGCAAACCACCATGGCACACGTATACCTATGTAACAAACCTGCACGTTCTGTACACGTATCCCCCCTTTTTTTTTTTAAAGAAAGAAAAGTTTTCAAAGGAAGATGTACACAAAAAGGAATATAATTTGCTTTTAATATTTTTCTGTCCAGTAGAGATAATAACA
This sequence comes from Homo sapiens, assembly GCF_000001405.40. Classification (NCBI taxonomy): domain Eukaryota; kingdom Metazoa; phylum Chordata; class Mammalia; order Primates; family Hominidae; genus Homo; species Homo sapiens. The sequence goes on along the minus strand of NC_000001.11, from coordinate 210,580,289 downwards.
GCATTTTAACAAGTAATAACCAGCAGTTGGTTAATGGGCAACCACAGGCTTTGTCATCCTCCATAAGGCTAAGAGGAGTCTATTTTCAAAGCAGGGAAAATATTTTGAGCTGGGCTAATTCTCAGCTCCTTTACTAAAAGATGCTGTACATAAGCTTCATATGCAATTCTGAAAATTATCTATTAAAAATTCTATGCCCTCTTTGGCAACAGAACATTGTAGGGTTTATAAAACAGAAATTAAATTCAAGCTATATTTAGCCTACACTTCAACTTCTAGGTAAATGTAATTAGATGCCAACATTTAAATAATCTTTCTTTTCGCTCCATGAAGCTGGTAGTTCAGTGAGTTGAAGTATTGTGCTGATGAACCCAAGCTTGTAGCTTCCATCTTAGAGAAAGATTCAACCACAACTTCATAGTTCAAAACCCAAACTCTGGCTTCACAAAAGCTCTATCTTTCTCACAGAAAGAGAGGCTGAGAGAGTCTGAATGGCTCAGTCCAAGCACATTTGCCGCTAGAAAACAGCCCAAGCAGCAACAGTGGCGAAGTATGGGACAAGAAAGAGCGCAGTGCTTGAGAGCTAGAAGATGTGACCTTGGCCCTGCTCTGCCACTCACCAACTTCTGTAACCTCGAACTTGTCAAGTAAACCTGCTCAGCTTAAGTATACATACTTAGTATGCACTAGCAGCACTAAAACCTTCTTTGAGTATGAGGTGCTGTGAAGATCAGATGAGACAATATATAAAGACTCTGGAGATTTTTTTTAAATCATGGCAAGAACACAGTATGAAATCTACACTGCTAACAATTGTTTAAGTATATAATACAGTATCGTTAACTATAGGCACAATGCTAGCCAGTGGATCTCTAGAAATTCTTCATCTTGCATAACTAATATTTTATACCCATTGATTAGCAAGACCCCCTTCCTCTCACCCCCGGCACCTGGCAACCACCATTCTATTCTTCGCTTCTATGAGTTTGACTATTTTTTAACCTTTAAGTTTAGGGGTACATGTGCTGGTTGTTATATAGGTAAACTCATGTCACAGGGGTTTGTTATACAGATAATTTCATCACCTATGTATTAAGCCTAGTATCCATTAGTTATTTTTCCTGATTCTCTCCCTCCTCCCACCCTCCATCTCCCGTGTCTGTCATTCCCCTCTGTGTGTCCATGTGTCCTTATCTTTTAGCTCCCACTTATAAGTGAGAACATGCAGTGTGTGGTTTTCCGTTTCTGCTAAAGATAATGGCCTCCAGCTCCATCCATGTTCTTGCAAAGGACATGATCTCATTGTTTTCCATGGCTGCGCAGTATTCCATGGTGGATATGTACCACATTTTCTTTATCCAATCTGCCATTGATGGGCTTTTAGGTTGATTCCATGTCTTTGCTATTGTGAATAGTGCTACAGTAAACATCTACATACATGTGGAGTTTGACTATTTTTAGATCCCTCATATAAGTGAAATCATACAGTATTTCTCTTTCTGTTATGGGCTTATTTCGCCTTCATAGCCTTATGTATATAACTGGAATCATACAGTATTTGTCCTTCTGTTACAGGCTTATCTCACTGAATAGAATATTCTCCATGTTCATTCACGATGTTGCAACTGGCAGGAATTTCTTCTTTTTTGAGGCTGAATAATATTACATTGTATGTATATACCACATTTTCTTTATCAATTCATGTATCAATAGATATTTAGGTTATTTCTGTATCTTGGCTGTTGTGAATAATGCTGAAATGAATATGGAAATATAGATACCTCTTCTAGATACTGATTTCAATTATTTTGTATACTCAGAAGTGTGATCACTGAATCACATAGTAGCTCTTTTTTATTTTTTTAAGGAATCTCCATACTGTTTTCCATAGTGGCTGTACCAACAATGTACAAGAGTTCTATTTTTCCACATCCTCACCAACATCTGTTATCTTTTTTTTCTAGAAAATAATAGCCATCCTAACACATATGAAGTGATATCTCATTGTGATTTTGATTTTCATTTCCATGATGACTGGTGATATTGAGCATCTTTTCACATATATCTTGAAACATACAACCTACCAAGAATGAATCAGGAAAATCTAAACAGACTAATAACAAAGAGAATGAATCAGTAATTAAAAACCTCACAACAAAGAAAAGTCCAGGACCTGATGTCTTCACTGGTGGATTCTACCAAAAATTTAAATAAAAAGTAACACCAATCCTTCTCCAACTCATCAAAAGAACTGAAGAAAAAGAACACTTCCAAACTCATTTTATGAGGCCATCATTACCCTATACCAAAGCCAGACAAAGACATCATTAAAAAATTACAGGCCAACTGGGCGCAGTGGCTCACATCTGTAACCCCAGAACTTTGAGAGGCTGAGGCAGGCAGATCACATGAGGTCAGGAGTTCAAGACCAGCCTGGCCAACATGGTGAAACCCTGTCTCGACTAAAAATACAAAAATTAGCCCAGCGTGGTGGTGCATGCCTGTAATCCCACTATTTGTAAGACTGAGACAGGAGAATTGCTTGAACTCAGGAGGCAAGGTTGCAGTGAGCTGAGATTGCACTACTGTACTCCAGCCTGGGTGACAGAGTGAGACTCCATTTCGAAAAAAAAAAAAAAAAAAAAAAAAAAATCCTACAGGCCAATATCCCTAATGCACATAGATGCAAGAACATTCAACAAAATACTAGCAAACCAAATTCAACAGTACGTTGAAAGAATCGTTCGTCATGTTTAACTGGGATCTACCCCTAAGGTGCAAGGATGTCTCAACTTACACAAATCAATTAGCATGATACATCACATTAACAGAATGAAGGACAAAAGCCTTCGTTATCATCTTAACACATGGAGAAAAAGCATTTGGCAAAATTAAACAAACTTTTATGATAAAAACTCCCAACACACTAGGTACGGAATGAATTTATTTCAATACAATAAAGTCCATATATGACAAGCCACAGCTAACATGTTTGACATTGAAAAACTGAAAGTCTTTTTGCTAAGATCAGAAACAAGCAAGAATGCCCACTCTCACCACATCTTTTCAACATAGTATTGGAAATACTAGCCAGAGTAATCAGACAAGAAAAATAAATAAAAGGCATATGAACTGGAAAGGAAGAAATAACATTATGTCTGTTTATAGATGACATGATCTTATACGTAAAAAACCCTAAAGACTGCAAAAAAAAAACCCGTTAAACAAATTCAGTAAAATCAGAGGATACAAAAGTAACATAAAAATCAGTTGCTTTCCTGTAAACAATAAATGATCCAAAAAGAAAATTAAGAAAAAATATCATTTTTAAAAGAACAACAAAAAAGAATAAAATAGAATGACAAAGAATAAAATACTTAGGAATAAATTTAGCCAAGAAGGCCAAAGATTTGTACATTGAAAACCATAAAACATTGATGAAAGAAAGTAAACACACCAAAAAATGGAAAGATATGCTGTGCCCATGGATAGTGCTTTGGAGATTTTAACACTGCATACACATGAAAGGTTTATACTTACTAATAATGGGCCAGCAGCAGCATACTTCATTCAAGGAAAATCACATTAAGTGTTCTTTTTTTCTTTTTTTCAATGTTATTATTATTATACTTTAAGTTTTAGGGTACATGTGCACAACGTGCAGGTTTGTTACATATGTAAACATACGTCATGTTGGTGTGCTGCACTCATTAACTCGTCATTTAGCATTAGGTATATCTCCTAATGCTATCCCTCCCCCCTCCCCCGACCCCACAACAGTCCCCGGTGTGTGATGTTCCCCTTCCTGTGTCCATGTGTTCTCATTATGTTAAGTGTTCTTAACACGCACACGCACACACCCCAAAGGGGTACAGGGAAACTTTTGGAGGTAATGGATATGCTTATTACTTTATGTTGATGGTTTCATGGGTGCATGCATATGTCCAAACTCATCAAATTGTACACATTAATATGTGCAGTTTTTGTGTATCAGTTACACTCCAATAAAGCTGGGGTTTTAAAAAGCCATTATCATAATGAGTAGCATTCCTATATCTTTCATCAGCATTTGAAGACACCAAGAACACTGAACTGCTTTCTCAGGGATGTTCTTTACTTAAAACCATTAGTCCTAAAAATGTCACCATCAGATCCAGGTCACTTAGTGCTAAGGGGTCAAAGCTATGGATTCAACAGCCACATATACCTGTTGATTATGCTTAATCCAGATGACAGCCAGCTGTTCTCCACACACCTAACACTGGCTGCAGAGAAGCCTACAGAGGGTATGTGGGTGTGTCAGGGTAAGTCAGTACCTACTACACTTCTGTCTATCTCCAACATTTTGCCATCAAATAACTGTCACCCTTCCCCTCAGGTTCCCCCTTTATCTGCCAAGTAGAAAAGTCACCTGACCAAATCCTTTTCTTATAATGAGTTACTGCAGTAACTAACTGTCTAAAGAAAGTCCTTATACAGGTTTACACATTTTATCAGTTTAAGTGATCTAATGATGTCCTGGAAGATCAAAGTTCTGATGACACATGTGTCTTTGTGGTATTACAATCTTCACACCAGAGACTGCAAACAAACAAGCAAAGCAAAGCACCAAAAGCACTTTTTAAGATGTCATGCATCAAAACTAGCTCTCAGTCACAAACAGGGACATGCCAAGGCCCAGGGGAGGTGTACACCAGAAAGGGGTATATACTGTTTCCCTCCCTGGGGTTTCTAACCCTCTTCTTCTGTTTGAGAGCACATTGAAGTCTCAGCATCCCCAGGGCTCCCAGGCCCAGGTCTATTCTGGGTTATAAATAAACACCATATAAAACAGATTCTTTGGAGGTTTGGGCAAAGGAGACACAGTGGGAATTTACACTCTTTAGTGCTGCAGAGCTGAGTCTAATTGCTAATAAAAAGGTCCTTGAAGCCTCAGTTTAATAACCACCAAGATTTTCTGGCTGCCTGCCTGTCTTCCCACCTTTCTCCTAAGACGATGCTGAAAGCATTTATAAGCTTCCCTAGGCCAAAGGAAAAGGTGGGGGCGGGGTAGGGGGTACTAAAAGCCAGAAGTAAAGGGGCCAATAAGGATGTCCATATGAGGAAGGGATGCATGATTTCTCCCACCACAGAGTCAGGAGGAGAAGAGGTAGGGGAAAGAGCCCACCCTCCCTTGCCCCTAAGGCATTTCCCAATCTTTGCTCCATCAGCAGATCCCAAATCCAGGGATCAAAATTACCACCATCTTGGACATACACCTCCTCTAATCAGCATGTGAACTATGGGTTTCTCCTGGATGTTTCCTTTCCATCCCTGCCTCTCACTCACATCCTATTCAGTGCCACTCCTGCCGGTCCTAATCTTCAAACTCATTTATCATGGCTGTTAGGAAAATGTTCACTATAAAATAAACTTGTGCAACTTAAAGGTTACTGTGCTGGTACAATGCCTTGGAGTCTCTAGAAGAAAGTGCTCTGAGGACAAGTGCAATAAAGAAATGCCTAGCTGGTTCCCGAAGCATTTCATCCCTCATCTGGGTTTGTGGTGTAATGCTTTTGTGGCAGCAAAAGCATGGAGAGGGCCTCAGAGGCAGGGCCCATGGCCCATGGCCCTGATAGGTGTATACTCTAGGTTTTCAAAGCAACCCAGTACTGCACACACAAAGTCTGGTCGGTTGGTCAGTCAGCAAAAACAAAAATCAACAGATGACAAGGGTAATATAAAGGAAAAGAAAAGGCAAGTTCTTTGTTGTCAGGAAGCATTTAGTGTAACAAGGGTGGGCAAGTCCCTACCTTCAGGGGGTCCCACTTGCAGTGGATTCCCATTGTGTTATGGCCTAAATTAAACCCATCAGTTTGGCTTCTTCTACGTCATTCTCCAACTGCCTCTTATGCCACTAATTTCATCTTATCAGTCTCCAAAATAGATTCTCCACCCCAGTCATTAACTTCATTCCTGCCCAAACCTGGGCCTTGTAATCATGCCATCCCATCCCCCAGCCACAGAAGGCTCCTGGCCAGTCTTTTCCAACATTTGATCTTTCAAAATGGGTTTAACATTCACTTCCAGGAAAATTTCCCCAGCCAATCTCACCCTTTGATTCTTTACCTCTTTAAGATTCATGCATTCATCTCAATCTAGATGATCTCTTTCAACTTGCTGATATGCTGCTCTTTAGTACTTCCGAGCTACCTCACCAGGCCTGACAGCATGCAGGATTCCTCACCTTACATCAATATCTGCAACACAGAATTATAACATTTCCCTTCTTACTCCACCAGAGTCTAATTTAGACTCCAAATTCAGGAGGATGCTCAATAAATCCTGGCGAATTTCCTTTGTCTCCTGCTCTTTCCTTCATCCCTCTCATTTCCCTGGTTCATCTCTTTTGCCTCTTCTTTTGACTGTCACTCCCTGTAAACAAAAGATGATTCTCCAGCTAGAAACTGTGGCTTCATAAGTGTCATTGTTTATGTCTGCTGCCACTGTGTTCTCCTCTAAAGTGCTGTGGGGTTTGGAGGGAATATTTACAAAGTCAGACTAAATCACAGATACCAACAGGAGATACCCTGAGCAAAAGGGACAGCTGGCGGGGACTGATGGGGGGACACATGCCAATGCCAACCTCTCCTAGAAAGCTGCTGGAACTACCGAAAGAAAAGGGAGATTTAACCACAAAGCAAAACTCCAGGGTTACATGTTTTTAAAATTAAAGTACTCAAGTTGTGATATTTAACATATGGGACCTTAACTTTAAAAGCCTCAAATAAAACCATGGCTGGGCCTGTCAGTATTTGATATCTGCAAGGGGATGGGGTCCAGGAGGCCAACGAGAGTTGGCCTTTGTGCTGGATTACTTGGGTTAACTTTCCCGACAATACCTCTTCCTTAGCCAGGCACATCACTTCAATTCCAGTGTGTTCGAGGGTCACAAAAAGAGTAGCGTGGGGTCAGGACCCTTGAAAAGCACCTTGGAGCACAGAGCAGGGCAGAGCAGATGTAGGGATGAGTGAGTCAGGGTCACAGATTTCAGTGGCAGTCACTTTCCTGGTTTTTGATTTACAACTGGGAACAGCTCAAGGGCTAGGAAAGAACCAGGGAATGAGGCCTCTCGAAAGGTCTATAAAGGTCTCGGAACATTTGGGACATAAGCATAGATGCTCTTGAAGAGTTACAAAATATCACAATAGTGTGCTGTTTGCTACTGGTTTCTATCAAAGCAGAGGGGATCTGTCTTCCCTAATTGGATTTCAGAACACAGAGCTCCTGAAATATTAGCTTATGCTTTTGAGTTCCCCATTTTCCCTACCCCTCTGCTGCCATGAAGTTAACTCTGGTCTTTTAACCAAAATTAAAATGCACAGGCAACTGCAAAATGCACAGGGGAGAGTTTGAGTGGGGGGTCTCACTCTGTTGCCCAAGCTGGAATGTACTGGTGCAATCATGGCTCACTACAGCCTCAAACTCTTGGGCTCAAGGGATCCTCCCACCCCGGCCTTCTGAGTAGCTGGGACCGCGAGTACACACACCATGCCCAGCTACATTTTTTTTTATATATTTTAGAGACCAGGTCTCACTATGTTGCCCAGGCTGGTTTCAAACTCCTGGCCTCAAGCAATCCTCCCACCTTGGCCTCCCAAGTCACTGGGATTACAGGCACGAGCCACAAAACCCAGCCAAAGGAGGTTACTTGTAGGAAGCCTGAGATGAATCTTGACTCAAGGTAACAAACTGTTTCCTAGTAGCACGTTTCTATTGTATCCTGGGCTTTCTTAAATACACACTGGAAATGAAAATGGTCATCTAAGGTGGCCACAGGTGGGTTTCAATACCCAGAAAGGGATAAAAGTGGGAGAAAATGCCAGCACGTATTATATGGGTACCCCTCACAAAACACTGACACTCAAGACTGTCTTCAGGGAGAAGGAAAATAAAGGTCTTTGAAACTGATGTGATTTTCAAAAAATAATCAAAGTGGAATGACTGCTGGTGGTAATGAGGAGGCTGCTCCCTCTCCGGACTGAAATCCGCACTCTGACAAATCAGCTTTGACAGAACAGTTTCAACTGCCTCTCATTTACCATAATTATGATTCACGATCCCTATCAGAGACGGCACCTTTTAAAGTTTGGCACTGGAAAGGAAAACTGATAATGCTTGAGCTTGGGCATGAATGACAATAAATCTGCAGTAGCCAACACAGCCGTGCCAGTGTAACATTTACGGAAACAAAGCAAGACCATCATCCCACGCTCAGGAAACAATGGGCCGGTAAGCATTTTTCTCTTAATGCAGTCAGGGCTGCGGGAATGATGATGCTTATTTGAAAAATCCCATGGTAATTGAGTAAAGTCTTGAGTGCACATTAGAGATTAATATTTTAAGAGCTGGCATTTTACAGATAGAGGCAGTCTAAGGATGACATTAAACGTGTGTCACACAAAGCAGAGTCTTCTGTAGATTAAAAATGCTTCTGTTCATGCAATAAAGTCATAAGAAATCCAAAGATGTCAGCTGTAGATCTGGATATTAATGTAGTGATCCAGGCTAGGAAACAGCCACTTCCCAAGGGTTGGGGAAAGAAGTGCACCGTACTGATGGCATTTCACTTGCTTGGAAGGCTCCCTCTCAAGTGGAGTCAAGATGAGAAAAGAAGTTTCACGGCTCGAAGAGTACTGAGCTTGACTTTACCTTACCCCTGAGAAAGGCAGGCAGAGAAGATGAGTTATTAGTCACTCTCCAGTATAGGCGGCTAATGTTGCTGCAGAGAGAAGCCAGGTCCTGAGTGTGGGGATACAGAGAAGCAGCTGGGTCCAAATGAAAGATGTGCTGTTCCAAGCTCTTCCCACCCACACCATGGTCCTGCCTTCCAAGACCATGACAGGAGAAACTGCAGGCAAGGGGCAGCTGCCAAGCAGAGCCATTTCATGGAGCCAAAGAACAAAGAGATGCCCTCCAAGCGCCCGCATGCCTGTAGAGCCTCATTTACCCAGGCTGCATGTGTTGACTTGAATCTAACGGCCAGTAACCAAATCAGCAGGTCTGGGTCTCCAACATCATTAGCTTTCCTGACAAGAAAGGGAAAGGCATGGAGGAGATGCTATGTATCTGGTTCATGCCCAAAGACAAGGTGAAGGGCAGAAGTAGCTGATCCAGAGCTCGCCATCTTTGCCTTAGGTAGCACAGATCAGACAGTTTATTTTCAGAGGTTAAGAAGCAGACCCTTTTTCAATTCGACGGCCGAGGCCAGGAGATTGGGAGAGCCTCCTTCAAGAGCATTCCCTATTTACCTAAATGAGAAGGCCAGGAGAGAAGGCTGACTGTCCATGCTGCAAAGCACGGGGTTTAAGGTAAAGCTGTGGGCTTTAACACTTACCCCTCTTATGGGGTAAGAATGGGCTGGACTGATCAGGGCAACCAAGCTACTCTTCAGAGTTCACCTGTGGGGCCAATATTCCTAGCCCATCTAGTTAGCACCACTTTCCTGCTGCGTCACCTTATGACTTGACAGCACTGCCTTAAGTGACTTCTCCTGCAGCTCAGTCACTTCAAATCACACTATTATAGCTCCTCAGTGAGGAGCTTGCTTGGAGAATGAAAAGTCTCTATGTTAGAATGTATGCCAAGGGTGACCCCCAACTTTCATCAGCGCAAAGGTCTTTTTAGCCTGATGCCTATCCTTCTGCTCCACTCCACACGCACTCCTGGGTGGTGGGTCTGTGGCTCGCTGTCTTCCTCAGTAGCACCAGCCCCTGGGCACATGGCTGCCTCTGGCACAGCTGCAGAGTCCTCCGTGTTCTTTCCAGCATCTCTCACACCCTCCAGGAGTCCCTAGTTCCCAGGGGCTACACTGTACATTGTCATGCCCAACACCACTCTTAAAGCTTGCACCAGGGTCTCTGCTGAGCCTCACAGGGCTGCACAGCTCTCTAGAGGACCCTCATCCAAAGTCCCCTTGGGAGTAAGACATCTCCCAGGATCATGGTCTGGGCAGGGCATGGGACTTGGCAAAGGACCGAGCCCCCTCCCATGGCTCTGGATGAGCTCAAATACTTCCTAGGGGTGTAATTCCAGAGCAGAATGTGGGCTAGAGATCATTACTCCCTTCTCACAGTGCTAAGGTAAAATGTCTCCCTTTCAGGGTGCAAGTTTCTAGGAACAAAGCACATAAACTCTAATGGTGGCTCAGGGTTGCACCTATATAACCTGGTATCACATAAACTGTATAGTGACTGTCCACTAGAATCAAACCAAGCCTCTCTTGGCTCCCCAATCATTTTTGTGTGTATTTGTGTTTGTGAAAGGAATGTGCCTATAAAAAATAGGCTGAGTACCAACTATAGGCTAGGCATAGGGATAATATAAAGAGGGATTGAAACATCTGTGCTTGCCTGGGGCAGTCAGTCTAGAGGTATATTAAACATCTAAAGGTACAGTTAAAAAAAAACAAATTGAAGCAGAATGAAATAAATGCAGCCTGGAGCTACAGGCAACTTGCATGTGCTGGGGGATGAAGGGGTTGATTCTGAGGGGTGGCTCCCAGGGACAGGTGCATAGAGAAAGCCACATCTGAGATAAAGAAGTGGATATACAAAGCAGGAGATGGTTTGAATTTTGTCTCTACTGGCTACCTGACATCAATCCCAATGTATCGCTAATATCACTGACAACCTCTTGCAAAGTCAGTGTCAGAGGAAAAAGATTATCCTTGCCTTCCTGAATCAAGGAAAAAAATCCTAAAAGTTGACAAATTTAAAAAATGTAATTGTACATTACAATGGAAAATCCAAAAGGTAGACTACAAAAAGACATGTAGGTACATTATAAAGAAATGAAATGAGCCTTTCTCAATGAGTGGAAAACACAAACTCAGATTCTGCTGCTATACGCTTTTTTTTTTTTTTTTTTTTTTTTTTGAGGCAGACTCTGGCTCTGTCGCCCGAGCTGGAGTGCAGTGGCACAATCTCGGCTTACTGCAACCTCCGCCTCCCAGGTTCAAGCGATTCTCCTGCCTCAGCCTCCCGAGTCGCTGGGGTTACAGGTGCCCGCCACTGCACCCGGCTAATTTTTGTATTTTTAGTAGAGATGGGGTTTCGCCATGTTGGCCAGGCTGGTCTCAAACTCCTGACCTCAGGTGATCTGCCCGCTTCGGCCTCCCAAAGTGATGGGATTACAGGCATGAGCCATTGTGCCCGGCCTCTGCTGCTATACTTCTGACACCTCATGTGTGGGGGGTTTCTCCCACATACCAAGCAAGCAAGCAATTCTGGAGTGACATGAGCTAGGTGTCCTCTAACTCAATTTAATTCTGATACTATCTACCTGGAGATAGGGTCAGATCACACAGGTTGGGGACTTGTCCCCACAAAACTGAGCCCCATTTCTGATGCCAATCACAGGCCCCAAGTTGTTTTACCTGTGCTTTTGACCAACTGGGGCAGGAGAACAGGGTCTGGAGGTCAGGAAAATAAAGCTGATTCATGCTGACTTCCTAGAACTAAATCAAATGGAAACACTTCAGCTATGACAGGAAATAGCCTCTCCATTTGCACAGGGCCTACACTGAGTAAATGACTTTGTAACTTTACTTGATCCTGTTCATTTACATAGAGCATAAGCCAAGTAACCAATGGCAACCTCTAGAGGGTATTTAAACCCCAGAAAATTCTCTAACGGGGCTCTTGAGCCCCTATGCTTGGGTATGTTCCCACCCCATAGAGGATACTTTCATTTTCAATAAATCTCAGCTTTTGTTGCTCCATTCTTTCCTTGCTTTGTGCATTTTGCCCAATTCTTTGTTCAAAATGCCAACAACCTGGACACCCTCCATCGGTAACATAACCAGCCATAAATTGAGGCTCCCACGACCCTCCCTCCTTGGGTTTGATTAATTTGCTAGAGCAGCTCATAGGACTCAGGGAAACTTACTTACATCTACCCTAAATTGTTATTATAAAGATTATCACAAAAGATAGAGATGAAGAGATGCATAAAGCAAAATATGGTGGAAGGAGCTCAGAACTTACATGCCCTCCCCGGGTGTACCACCCTCCAAGAGCCTTCACATGTTTAGCTATCTGGAAGTTCATCATTACTCTGTCCTTTCGGACTTCTATGGAGACTTCATTATGTAGGAATGATTGATTAAATAATTGGTGATCAGCTTAACCTTCAGCCACTCTCCCGTTCCCAGAGGTTGAGGGATGGGGCTGAAAGTCCCATCTGTCTCATCAGGCATTGGTCTTTCTAGTGATGAGCCTCATCCTGAAGCTACTAAGGGGCTGCCAGCCACCAGTCAACTCCTTAACATTCAAAAAGACACATAACTTTAGAGATTCCAAGGATTTTAGGAGTTGTATGTCAGGAAACTGGGAGGAAGATCAAATATATATTTCATAATTTCACACTTAACAAGTTACCTGAGAACCAAGGGCACCCAGCTATAAAATCTGGATGTTAGTTGTCCCCCAAGAATAAGGCTGGCTCAGCAAGCAGGTCCCTGGGTATAAGCAAGGCTCTCTCTCCATCTCTATAACCCTAACAGCTGTGACCTATGCTGGGCCACAGCATCTCCATCTAGGACATAAATTTTCTAATCTATGCCCAGCTCACCTCATAGGATTGTACACGATGATCTAAAAAGGCAAAAGGGATGGAAAGGAATGGAGAAATAATGTAAAACAAATGATCACTATACTGACAGTATATAAACAATAGTGTATTAGGGACAATACTGATAATCAGCAAAGGATTTCCATTGAGTTAAATATTTTGATAAATAAAGAAAAGAGATAAATGAAGACTGCTCACTGTGAACCAGGTACTGCGCTGAACATTTTACAGGTATTACTCAATTTATGAAACTACTCTGGGAAATTTCCACCTCCCTTAATTTCCAGATGAGGAAAATAAAGCTCAGAGAGGTTACTTACTTCCCTACCTGAGGAACTGGTCAGTTTGTCCCATGTTGCATCAAAGAGCAGAACTTTTCATCCACTGGTGAAAATTACAGTGATGCACGTTCTCTTTGATCTGAAATGTCTAAGAGTAAGAAAGCTACACAGCTAATGGTGGAGGAGAAACTGAGACTTGGGTTTGTCTGATTTCAAAATGGGCACTATTCTTGATGAAATGGTAGAGTTCCCTGACACCCCTCACAGGATGTGCAACAGGGATGTGCATCCTCTGTTTGGTTGCCACCATTGCTCTAACCCCTTATTGGAGGGGGGGCACAGAGACAGAGATGTGCAGGAGCTGGAGCAAGCATCCCTGGGCTCCAGCCCCATAGAAGCATCAAGGGGTGGGAGGCTGCGACTCCCAAAGCCCAAATGGGCATGTGTTACAGTGCATTCTTTTAGCCTTGCCATCTGTGAATGGCTTAAGTGTTAACCAGCTCAGTGGACCCTCTTCCTTTTTGCAAGGGCAGGGGGCCAGTGTGACAGCTTTCTGTATCCCAAGCTCTTGTCCAGCATCCCTGAAGAACTGGGTCACACACAGACTTGAAGGATGAATGCAGGGGTTTTACTGAGTGGTGGAGGTGGCTCTCAGTGGGATGGATAGGGAGCTGGAAGGGGAATGGAGTGGAAAGATGGTCTTCCCCTGGAGTCTGGCCATCTAGCGGCCGATCTCCCCTCTGATCATCACCAGCTGAACTCCTCTCAGCATTCAGACATTCCTTCTCTTCTCCCCTTCTCTGCCATGCTGTTCTGCCACTCATCAGCTCATCTCTTTGTCTCATCTCCTTGTCTCCTCATCTGCTTCTGGAGCCTGGGGTTTGGGGTTTATATGGGTACAGGATAGGGGTGCGATGGTTGCGAAGGCAACTTTTGGGAACAAAAACAAGAATGCCTGTTCTCATTTAGGGTCATGGGTATCCAGGCTTGAGGATGGGGCCTTTGCTGGGGAACCACCCTCTTCTGCCCAGTATTTCCCTGTCTCCTGTCCACATCATCACTAGACCAAGTTGTTTCCCCATGATTACTACAAATATTGAATATAGATAACCTATATGCTTAACACTAAAAAGACAATGTTTAATATTTTCTAGCTTTTTAATATCTACTGAGCCTCTAGTAAATGTCAATCATCATGTTCTGGGCTTTCCACCCTATTTCGTTTGCTAATTTTTTGGCAACTTTAAGTGTTCAGGGTCATGTTTGTGAACCTAAACCAACATTGTAGCAGCAAAGCATGGCAGATCTAGATAAAGTATCCAACTAACTATGAGGTGATAAAAAAAGTTCAGTGCATTTCTACTCAAATCTGGTAGAAACTCCTGATGACAGCACGAGGTCCAGAGGCCAAGAATGACCCCCTATAGTTGGCACAGAGGACGCTAGAGCTAGAAGGGATCCAAGAGGCCGTCTTGCCCAGAGACCCCTGAGCTACACCCACACCAAGAGCCATCCAGCCTATACCTCCACGCTCTTAGCGGCCAGGAGATCTCAGCTTGTGAAACAGTCTTTCTACTTTTAGACAACTTAGGTTGAAGAAAACATGCTTCCTGGTGCTTTTCACTGCTTGGTCCTGACTCTCCTCTTCAAAGAAACACAGAGCAAATACCAACCCACCAACTGGCAGCCTGCAAAATAGCTGATGAGGGCTTTTGGGTCTCTCCAAAAGCTTGCTTTTGCCTGCTACAGATTCTCAGCTTCTTTGTCCATTCTTTGTGATTCCAAACTCTCTCACTGTCATCGTTTCTGTTTTTTTAGATACTTCCTTGTTTGTGTTCCTCTGGTATTATGGAGCCAGAAATAGAAGGAGAATTCATGGAACGACAGGAATAATGAAGAACAGACTAGGAATGCCACATTGTTTTCCTAACCATATATTTGCATCATCACCAAATATTTTCTAAGCATCTACTACATGCTGATACTGTGCAACACATCAGAGATGTACAGGAACATGCCAGATCAGACTAAGAGCTTACATCCAACCTAATACTGAGGATGCCTGTGGTGACATTTGTTTCAGGGCAGACTTAACTCACAGCAGAGCTTGCATCTACCACTTTTTTCTGAGAAAGTGAAGACCATCATATGAGCACCCTCTCCTTCCCGAACCATATACATCATCTTTATCACCATCGGCACATGTCCATTCACGATTTGTCCCTTCTCCCATAGTTAAAGAGATGTCCTTTCCACGACTAAGGCTAACTCTGCTTGTTAGCTCCATCTCCTTCTGCCTCCTGAGGAACCATGCTTCCCCTTCCCACCTCCCATCTCCAGTATCTCTATCCAACTTATCTGACTGGTTCTTTCCTTAACCTAAAGATGCACTCCAGTCTTTCCCATTTCATAAATGTCTTTCTTTCATCCACAACTTCTTCCAGCCTCAATCCTAATGGCTTTTTTTAAAAGCAGGTATTTAAGGTCCTTGAAAGAGCAGTCTACACACAGTCTCTAAGTGACCCCCCATCCCATTTCTTCCTTAACCTGTTGCAGTCTGACTTCTGCCCCTCCCCTCCCCTCCCCATTCCATCAGCTTTTGTCAAGGTCATCAAAGACCTCCATATTGTCACAGCCAATGGCTACATCTGTGTCTCTCTCTTATTTGTCCTATCTATTACATTGTGCATTGACAGTGCCCTCCACTTTCCTCTTTAGATAATTTCTGCTTTATGTCTTACCACTACTGTACTCCTTACCTTTAGAAGTATTTTTTAAAATCCAGAACTACCAATGACCTTTTTGTGTATGTCCTCTATGACATTTTTCTATAAATACACATAGACACATACTTCTTATAAGAATAGGATGGCATACATTCCACTTCAGGAAACTGTTCTGTTCACCTAATCATGAGCATCCTTCCACATGACTTTCCTTGTTCACATTTTTGCTTCTGTGGCTCCAATGGAGCTCTCTGTTTTCATCTTTAGAGCCACTGCTCCTCATGCTCCCTCTCAGGCTACTTATTCTCTGCCTAGTTCTAAAAGTATCAGCAACCACTCATGGTTCTGTCTCTTAACTTCTACGTGCTCACACTAGGAGACCACATCAGCACATTAACAATATAGTGAAGCCAGGCGCGGTGGCTCATGCCTGTAATCCCAGCACTTTGGGAGGCTGAGGTGGGCGGATCACTTGAGGTCAGGAGTTCCACATCAGCCTGGCCAGCATGGTGAAACCCCATCTCTACTAAAAATACAAAAAAAAAAAAAAATAGTTGGGCATGGTGGTACGTTCCTGTAACCCCAGCTACTCAGGAGGCTGAGGCAGGAGAATCACTTGAACCCAGGAGGCAGAGGTTGCTGTGAGCTGAGATTGCACCACTGCACTCCAGCCTGGATGACAGAATGAGACTCCATCTCAAAACAAACAAACAAACAAACAAAAACAATGTAGTATGAGTTCATCTATCACCTTAACCAGCTAGTCAACCACTCACTGAGGCTAATAATACACTGATGCTAACATACAGTACATGCTCAAGAAATATCTTCCAAATGAATTGGAAGGCAAGGAGGAAGAGAAAAGAGCTGAAGTGAGGGGTACACCCTGGAGGAGGCCAGCCCAAGTAACTTGGCATGGTGAAGACCCAATATGAGGTTATGGAACAGAATAACAATGGGCTGAGGGGAAAATATCAGAGAAGTATCAAAACCAAGTTCTCTCCTTCACACCTATGCTGAGAGTTGGATCTGTCATACAGTTGCTGAGAGCACCACTGAATAGATAAGAAGTGGTTCCCAACTCCCTGCTCTCCCATGATCAGCCTCCAGGAATCACTGTGCAAGAGTGCCCTTGTGAAGGGGATCTGAAGAGGCTCTCCCTGGACTTCACTCCACCGCAATGTTGAAGAACCCTCCCCATCGTGCTTTCCACCCACTATCCCATAAACTGCCTTCCACCCCACTCTACTCTGATTTCACCTTTAGGCTCCTTCTGGAAGCCATCTCAGATTAACATCATCCATCTTCCAAACCCAAATTATGATCCCCGGCCCCTAACATGATCTTTTCTGCTATTTCTAAATTCTTACAGTTTGGATAATTATACAGTTGCTCAGCTGCTTCATTTTCTTAGCTATATTTGGACCCCACAGGGCTGAGACCTCATCTGTTCCAGAATCTATATCCCACATGCCCAGTACCCTTCTGTATTCCCTCTAGGTACTTACCACAGGCGGAATCACTTGACCCAGAAGCATTAAAACCAAGGAGAGGCCTCAAAGTATAGTGGTTAAGGCATGGATTCACCCTTGGATTCTAATCCTACCTTCACTTACAAGTTGCGAGGCTCCGAGCCAAGTTTATCCGTTCTGAGCCTCAGGCTCCTGATCCTTAGTGGAGGCAATAAAACCCACCTTTGTAGGGACATGGATGAAGCTGGAAACCATCATTTTCAGCAAACTATCGCAAGGACAAAAAAACCAAACACCGCATGTTCTCACTCATAGGTGGGAATTGAACAATGAGAACACATGGACACAGGAAGGGGAACATCACACACTGGGGCCTGTTGTGGGGTGGGGGGAGGGGGGAGGGATAGCATTTGGAAATATACCTAATGTTAAATGACGAGTTACTGGATGTAGCACACCAACATGGCACGTGTATACATATGTAACTAACCTGCACATTGTGCACATGTACTCTAAAACTTAAAGTATAATAAAAAAAAAAGAAAAGAAAAAAACCCACCACAGGAATATCATAAAGCTTAACCAAGACATTGAACACAAAGAGCTCAAAACATGCCTGGCATACAGCAAGCGCTCAGTAGATGTTGGATGTTAGCTGTGACAAAGACTCACCTCAGCAGAAAGAAACATCTCAAAGAAGCAAAAGGAAAGAGCAAGCAAGGAGCCCCGCTCCTCTCTCCAAATCATGAATGGCCTCAGGACATCTGCAGCAAATTCAAAATTCTTTACCCACCCCCCACCCCTTGGCCCTTGGTGATTGGATTGAAAAGACTTTCTGGTAAATACTCTTTTCTTCATGAGTGTGATATTCCTTAATGTGTTGTTTAAGTGGAAGCCCCCAACGTCAACGATGCAGATTAGAAAAATATATATCCTTTCCAACTACCTTCTCTAATTAGTGCTTGATTTGTGCTGCTAATATTGTTTACACTAAAGGGTGCTCTTGAAACAGCAGTCAACTCTCTATCTCCTAAGTGTTCAACAGCTACTTAAAACTGAGCTGGTTTATTGAATGATATCTATAAGTTGTAATCTCATAATTAAGGTTTCATCAGTGCCCATGACACCAGTGCTCTGTAGTGGTTGATACAACAGGGTGTAAGTTTACATTGTATTTGTTTAGTCTCCATCATATTCATCCATTCATTTAACTCAACATCTACTATGAGCA
Source organism: Homo sapiens (assembly GCF_000001405.40). NCBI lineage: Eukaryota > Metazoa > Chordata > Mammalia > Primates > Hominidae > Homo > Homo sapiens. Next base: position 210,561,967 of record NC_000001.11, on the reverse strand, counting down.
GCCACTATGCACTGGAAGGAGTTAGTAAGTGACTATCAGGTGTCAGGCACTGTGCTGGACACATTGAGGAAAATGAAGATGCCAGAGACACAGTCCCCACCTTCAGGGAGTGTATCCTCAGCCTGACAGACAAAACAAACATTGAGAGTGACAGCCAGAAGAATTGATTTTAAATGTTCTCACCACAAAAAAATGATAAGTACGTGGAGGCAACAAATATGTTAATTACTTTGACAATTACTTCACAATGTGTACATATATCAAAACATCACATTATACCCCATAAATATATACAATTATTATTTGTCAATTAGAAATAAAATAAATGCAGAAAAAAGAGAAAATGACAGCAGTTTAAGGTAATGTGAGTAGCATACAGAGCAGCAGTAAAACAAGGGTAAGAATGAACACTTACTGAGCACCTTCTAGGCACCAGGCAGATGGCTGGGCACTTGCCACACGTAAACCTATGATATGAGGTAGAAAACCCCCATTTTCCAGATGAGGAAACAGATTTAGACTCACATCTATCTCTGAAAGTGGCATCCTGTCACCATGCCGTGCTAACTCTCTTTGCCCAACCTCTTCATTTAGACCTATTTATACATTTAGACTTATTTATACAACATTTATGCAAAATGAGGTGCAGAATGGTTAAGTACCCTGCTCATATTTAAACACTATGAATAGATTTATTTTCAAAAGTTCTCAGACTTTTAATCCTACAGACTCTTTATGATGAAACCAAAGGGCCTTCCCTCTGTCCAAACAAGTGGCCCAAGATCACCTCGAGGCCATGATGAAGGTCAAGGGTACAGGCCAGTGAAGAAATCACCTAGTTCTATGGGACTTACCCCACACCTCAGCTAGAAACTGGAACGGGGCAAAGGATTCTGTTTTAAACCTGGAAAGGAGATGACCATTTTCACCACATCTTCCTCTTCTTTCTTTGAGAAAAGATGTATCAAAGAACCTCATAGATACTGGCCTCAGTGATCATTAGCTTCCTTCACTCTCCATGGTCAGTGCAGCTCAGGACTTGACATTTCTTAATCTGAAAGGTCTTTAAAATCAAAAAGAAAGAGGAAAAAAACGATCCACCACATTCTACTCTGGTTTTTTTTTTTTTTTTTTTTTTTTTTTTTTTTTTTTTAAGACACAGGGTCTCACTTTGTCACCCAGGCTGCAGTGCAGTGGCATGATCATAGCTCACTGTAGCCTCAAACTCCTGATCTCAAGTGATCCATCCTCTTGCCTCAGCATTCTGAGTAACTGGGACTACAGGTGCTGCCATCACACCTGGCTTTTTTTTTTTTTTGGTAGAGATGGGGTCTATGTTGCCCAGGCTGGTCTTGAGCTGCTGGATTTAAGCAATTCTCCTGCCTCAGCCTCCCAAAGTAATGGGACCACAGGTATGAGCCACCTTGGCCAGCCTCTTCTGTTTATCTTGAATGATGTCATAGCTGTCATCCCTTTACAAGGTTCTTTTTAACTTACAGGTAAGTGCCCTGGGTAGGGTGAGCCCCCAAGAAGCCAGAGGTCTCCTCAGGGAATAACTTCCCATTATAAACAAGTCTCAGAACAACTTGGGGAAAACCAACAAAGCATGAGAGAGGTGAGATATGGACATTCCCATTGTTTTTAAGTGGGGGAAAAAAACCTTTGACTCTGAGGAAGTCACACATATTCTCACCGTGTTCTTTTCCTTGTTTTTGTTCACAATTCTAAGAAGTAATAAGCAAAGAAATAAAGGACCATCTTTAGGAACTAAATACCAATTCAAAGGTCAGGCCTAGTCCTTAGAAGGGTACAAGAGAGAAATTGGAGGACTGAATGCCTCAGGACTGAGGGTTTTCATTTGATCCTAAGAGTTCGTGGGAAAGGAGCACACAGGAAAACTTTGCCAAGTGACAGAGCTAAGAGGCAGCCAACTCAGGAGAAAGACACACGATCCCAGGGCTTAAAGGGCCTTCTACGATTAGTGGATGAAAGCCTCCAATCCCCTGGCACTACCAGAGAGAGCTGCTCCCAAATTACCTGACTGAGCAGGCTTTCAACCTCATTAGAAATGTCTTTGGGAAGGAATTGCCATAATTTCTCAGATAATAGAGTCTGATACACTGTTTCAATAATGTCACACACAAAAAAATACCTACACTTTCCTGGGTGACATCAATGACTGGATGGTCAAAAGAAGGAACCACCACATCTGTGTAAGTCACTCATCCATAGAGCAGCCAGCATATTGTCACAATAAAATCCTGTTCTGAGCACACAGAGACCAGATCTGGATTTCTGTCTCTGACCTATGGTCTCCAGGACATTTGGTGGGAAAACCTGGCCATTTTTGTGAATGGCATAATTGTATGGCGGAAAGATGAAGGTTTAGGAGTCAGACAGTCCTGTGTCCAAATCCTAGCTCCACCACTTCCAATCATCAGAGCAACTCTGCAAAGTGAGCTATGATCTATGTATAAGGGGTGCTGAATAATAAATGCTGAATGGAATTTAAAACTAGATTTGCTACTATATCCTGCTTCACATCAACCTTTACCAACTAACCTCTCCTGTAGCACTTATCCACTCCATTTATTCAACAGATATTTACTGAGTACCTACTGTGGGCCAAGTAGACAGAGATTAAACTGTTTATTTAAAATCATGAAGAGTACAGAGAAGGTCCCTGCCCTCATGAAATATTCTAGTAGGGGAAGACTTAAACAGAAAAGCAAATGAATAGGTAAATACTTTTAGATTACTATTTTAAAAATACAATAAAGCACAATAAGAGGCTACAGCCTGACTATAATCTGAACTAGGCTGAAACTTCCTAGGCATATGGATTCTGCCTTATAAGTCTTCATGCTCTGTGATATCTATGGGAATGCCAAGCACGTAACAAATGCTCAGCAAATTTCTATCAACTGACAATGAACTGACCGAACGGGATTCTACCAAGTTAGATACCATCTAATTCCATGAGTCACTAATTGATATCACTATGAAATAAACAGAAACTTTAGAAGCACAGTCTCCTCACTACTCCAGACAGGACCTCATCATTAGCACTAAGGTGACCCAAGACAGCCCCGCACCTTCCTTTTTAATTTCTCTTTGCACCTTTCCCAAGGATGCCCCATCATCCCAGCCACATGACCCCAACCCATGCATGCCTGGCCTCAAGAATAACTGGCAAAATTCTGAATGGCTCAAAAGCCTTTTTCCTATAGAGCTATTTTGGAGGTTCAAAGAAAATGGCAGAGACTGCTTACCCATTTGGAAATAAAACATTTCTCTTCCTCACTTCACCAAAGCCTGTAAGCTCTGTCTACCAGGAGCCTCTCAAAATGGACCAGAAAGCAGCAAGAAAAAAGTTACCTCATCAATTTCCTGCCTGTGGAAAGCACATTTATTCTTCCCTATCCCTTCCCCCTTATGCTCCCTCTACAATCATTACAAACTGCTCAAGCCAACACAAACAGATAAGACCCAAAGGCAAGTCCTGGCAGGCGGCCAGCATCTGCTCTTAGGGACAACTGCATCCTTTCTTTCTAAATAAAGTAACAAGAGAAAGAAGCACAGGGTGCCCCTCTTACCTTAGCCAGGTAGGAGAACTCTACTGCAGCACTTCTTTGCAAAAGAGTTACCAGCCTTCATTTTAAAGCTCCCACTATCCTGATTCCTTCTGGAACTATGAGGGACACTGAGACCACTAGGTTTTGTGAAACACGTTTTCTATTCACTTGGCTTTTTATCCACCCACCAATTGCTGGGTATCTTCTGGCAGAAGGCTCTGTGTTAGGTGTTATGGGAAATTCAAACCTGAGTAACGAAAAACTCTCTGCCACCAAGGAACTCACAATTCAGCATTATCCGCAAATACAAGGTTGAATCATTCTCACTGCTCAAGTGGAAGAAAAAACCCTAGGGATCCAGTTCTTTTTAAAGTGTAGCCACTTTTCCAGGATACCACTGAAGGCCAAGCGGGAAGAATGCTCTTCTGACCCTCTAGGAAATGAGCCCAAATGCCCATGTGGACAGTGTCTTCTGGCCTGCTCCACCCACATACTCCTGGCCACCCACATAACCAGCCAAGTGCCTTGCCCACTTCTTCCTTGACAGGTGATAGGGTTTGGCTGTGTTCCCACCCAAATTTCAACTTGAATTGTATCTCCCAGAATTCCCACGTGTTGTGGGAGGGATCCAGTGGGAAATAATTGAATCACAGGGCCTGGTCTTTCCTGTGCTGTTCTCGTGATAGTGAATAAGTCTCATGAGATCTGATAGTTTATCAGGGGTTTCCGCTTTTGCTTCTTCCTCATTTTCTCTTGCTGCCGTCATGTAAGAAGTGCCTTTCACCACCCGCCATGATTCTGAGGCCTCCTCAACCATGTGGAACTGTAAGTCCAATTACACCTCTTTTTATTCCCAGTCTTGGGCATGTTTTATCAGCAGTGTGAAAACAGACTAATACAGTAGCCAAAAAGTAACTGGCCTGATTCACCACCCAAACAGGAGACATTCGTGTACAAGTGCAACTTAGGTTCTGATCGTCAGGCTGGGGAAGATTCCAAAATTTCAACTCTCTAAACCAGGGGTTTCAGGAGTTGGAAAGCAGTGGAGGGGATTGGCTTATCTTGGACTCATCTGCCTTCCAAGGACACTTTGAGGTTCATGGGGGCATTTATTATGGGTCCTCCACTCACAATGAAGACATTCTTTCTCTATCACATATCCAGCAGTTTAGCAAGTGTTGGTTAATAACATATGCATTTCATACCTTAATGCATTTCATTCATTGCTCAAAGTTGGTCCCAGCCACATTCTGTCTCCCTCCTAGGGTCTCTTTCTCACCTGTGAGCCTTTGGCACCACTGGGTCCTCCCCATGCTCCTCCAGCTCATTCAGGGGGAAGGGCTGATCTTCAGCCCTGCTGTGAGTGTGGGTGACAATCAGCACTGTCTGCAGGAAGCCTCACATCTGGGTCCCATCCCCTATTTCTACAGCCACAATCCTACGCTGTCCTTCATTTAAAAGAGGAAACTGCTTATCTAGCCCTTCAGGGGGTCAGTGGCTTTGAGCTGTTTTTCCAGTGGTATTGGATTATGCTGACTCTTATATCCTTACTTTACCAGAAAAAATCACACCCATTCATGAGTGGCTGGCTAGGTTAGGGGTGAAATCTGTGGTCCATGAGTTGTTATTCTTGGGCAAATTATATGAAGTTAAATTCTATCATCTTGGTCTCATCAGTACCAGTCTCCAACTCAAAGAGCTAATCAACAACATCTGCCAAACTGCAATCAATCAAACATGGCAAGAGAGTGAAGCTGTCATATCAGCTCCCCTCTTGGAGGCCACTCTGGGCCCAAAGGATGGTATATTTGTGTATCAGCAGGAGGAAGGATGTTTGGAAGCCCAAAGGCGATGAGAGGAAAGGAGGCAGTACAGGTTGGCAGATCAGCAGGGAGGGCAGCCCCCTGGGGTTCAGGTGAGCAGCAGGGAGCAGTGGGAACCAGGGTGGACATGTGTGCATTTATATCATATATTCATGCACCTAACAAATATCTGAGGACTGACCACAGCTAGAGGACGCAGTGATAAACAGAAGAGACATAGCCCTTGCCCTGGGAGAACTGACCTTTTCACAAGAATGGACTCAAATGATGGAAGGTTCTGTTTGTTTGAATCTTTAAGAAAATCAGGGGAAAGATACCACTTGAGGGAAAACTCTCTCCAGAGGTCAGGCAACATAAGACAATATGGGAGGAGGCTGGAAGGGCTGCAATTTACACGCCCTCCATGTCCCTTGCTGCTGGAGACTAGACGAGAAAAAGACCACGAGAAGGGGAGGAAAAGAAAAGAAATGAGAGTATAGACTAAACTCCCTGCACACTAACGTTCTGGCTCCTCACAAAATACTTTTTCAAATGAAAATTGTCTTAAAAAAAAATTGGGGAAGGACATGTGAAAGAGAAAAGAACAAACATGGCTATGCTTTCAAAAACAGGGCCTCCAAACATCGACATTAATAAGCAAATGTATTGGTAGGAAGAAATTCCAATCAATATTAATCAGGCTCAGCTGGCCCACTTCTCCTCACAGGGCTTAATAACACTTCCCAGCCCTGATCTGATTGGAGTCCAACACATGCATACTAATGAGGCCACCAGTGCAGAATTTACCACTAGGCTTCTAAGAGGGTTTGATGGGCACCATTTCTGTCCCGGATGTCTGTCAACCAATATATATGGGCTTCAGCCATTAATTCAATGGTTTGTTGGTAATACCCAATAGGTTCCAGCCTGTTATCTAACAGTTATGAGGGACAGTGTGTCAAAGGCTGGCTGCTTTGAAATAGCACAAACTCCTCTCTGAAAATATAAGTCCAGAGAATCTCTTCTTCTCACAATTTCCTAACTGCCCCCAACTATTCTATGTCATGCCCACTCTCCACAGACTCCCACTGATGGGCAGCAACTCCCTTAACAGGACTAGGGCCCAATTCCAGGACTTCCCAGTCTTGTTCACCTCACAATTCTAGTCTTACGCACAACTTAAAATTCTTCCTGTCCCCAGCACTGGCGAGATCTGTTGCTTGTTCTCTCAGCTTGCAGAGAAGGGGTTCTGGAGGCTGACGCTTTCTCTTCCTGCTGATCTGGGCTTCACCCTGGTGTCACAGCGAGGGGTCAGGGTGAGTAGAACTACGGGCAGCAGAGGGGTCTTCTCAAGTGAGTGCTTATGGCAAGGAGGTAGCCTCTGTCTGTAGGCTGTTTCTGCTTCTTCAAATTGGTTGGTTGTTAGTTTCTCTTTGTGGCAAATGTTTCTAAATGCCAGGATTTTGTGGAAAACTTTTATTGGTTCCTTGAGGGGATCCCCCTTCAAGTCCCTGGGTGTGAAATATCCCACTTAAGTTCAACATATTCTTTCCTTCCTCTGGCCTCTATCACGGGAGGCCCAATATACAGCCTCTTGCTTCTGGGACCCCCTTTATCTGGTGGGCAGCCTTCCTTCAGAAGACAGAGGTAGGAAGAAGAGAAAACACCAGCAGGATGGCTCATGCCCAATCATCTTCCAGGGGACCCACTCAACAAACACAAACCTTGTGTATTCCAGCCTTGCCAAATGGTCTGAGGGCAGATTGCTAGATGGCACCCTCTCTTTCAGTGCCTCCATCTCTCTCCTGACCCTCAGATCTCCAGTGAACCACAAGGCACACCTTGAGAAAGACTAGATGGTGCCACATAAATCCATCACAAAAGAGAGGAAGTCAAGGAAACCCCACTTTCCTGGTTTAGAGATGGCACCTTCTCATTGAAAGGATCTTAGCACTTTTACGGGCTTAAGCTGAAACCTCCCCGCCTCCTCGCTAGTATATTCCCACACATTGCACACTCATGCACACTTTCACAGCACCTCCACAGACTCACACCCACAAATCACACACAGGGAGGGTGGCCTGGTCTCTGGGTAGAGAAAGGTGCGTTTGTCTCCAAACCCAAATCTCAACCTTCAAGGCACAAACCCTGCACTGAGCTCTGACCAGCACCAAAGGGCAAAACTCCCTTAGTCCTCAGAGTACCGCATCCCACCAAAGTTCATCTTCAAAAGCCAGGACAAAGCAGCAAACTGAGGTTACAACCCTAGCTGAATTAGGAGAGGGTCAGAGTTTTCCTCAAAGTCATTAGCTCAACAAATATTTTTGAACCCCTAGCACGATGACAGACCTTAAAAGGGGCACTGAGGATGCAGCAGTGAACAAAACTTTCATTATACAATAATGTGCGCCCTCATGCTAAAATCATTAACCTATCTGTAACATCATCATCGGTATTATTACTCTCTTTCTTAAAATGCATCCCCTCCCTGCCCCTCCACATGCAGTGTTCATAACCTAGCAGCCCCGGTTCCACTTGCTCACTGCAGGCTTTGCGTGCCCATGATGTATGACAACAGAAATGTAGCCTGTCCACTTTAAGTTCGCAATAAAAATACAGATCCCAGTGATGAATATTTTATCAGGGAAGAGAACAATTTCAGGGCCATTTCTAGTAATATGTCAGCCCCAGGCAGGAGTGGAAGGCAGCTGGAGAGTAATGAAGTGGATACACTCGGGGTGGAGCCACGGCCCAGCAAACCATACAGGGAGAGGAAGAGGTGGGAAGAGGGAGAGAGGGAGAGGAGGAGGCAGAGCCCTGGGTGGTCTGAGCAGCTCTGAGCCTATATCCCCATTTCCAGGGAAAGAGGCTGAGGTCCACGGATAAATGATTTGGGAAGCTCACACTGCAGGGGTCTAAGCCAGCCCTGAACACCAAGATGTTTCACTCTGGCCTCAGAGAAGAGTACTGTCTGACGCCCTGTGGGCACTGAGCAGGGCTAGGGTTGAAACCTTCAGGAGGCTATGAAACCCCATTGTTAGGTGAACTGTAACTCCGATACCCAGACGGGTAAATTTAGGTCTTATTACTCTGCACTTCACTCATGTTTCTGAAGTTTCTCTTCTGCCTTCCAATGTGTATGTCTATCTTCCCCATGATCCTAAAAGGGCCTCAGCAGAAGAATGTCCTCCCCTCCATCTGGAAGGCTCCTGAATCTAGGGAAGCTCTGTAGCCTCTCTGACCCCAACCCTTTCAAAGCCTCTAACGGCAGGGTACCAAGTGGGGAGCCAAGTTGACAGCTGAAGAAGAGCAAATGGACACACCCTGAAAATTCAGCTTGGGGTCCACTATCACAGGACTTGGCTGTTCTTGCTGTGCGCCAGGAAGCCAGCCTTGGTCCCCTCTTCCTGGGCAGCAGTGGAGCCACTGGATCCAAGACATAGGTTCCATCTCCCATCTTCCTCTCCCCTTAAAGGCCCTTGGGTTGGAATGACATCAAGAAGATGCTGACATCTTAGGACAGAGAGATGAAGTGGAACAGGCAAAGATGGGGTAGAGTCACCTGAATGGGGGAATAAAGACATTTAACTCTTCAACACAGGCACTGCACTAAAGGCTGGGGATGTGAGATGAAGGAGACCTGCTCCCTGACCTCACAGACCAGCAAAGAGAGAGACAGCTACAAGAACACAGAGGTCAGACTCAAAGGAGGGCAGGAATCATTCTGTGAGGGTAGAAAGCCAAGGAAGGTTTCTCAAGGAGAATGAGGAGGTCCATTATTACATAATCACCAGGCAAACCAAGGGTAGCCCCATTTGCTCTCCTGGCAGCTGAGCCCTCTCCAGGAATTGCTTTTAGTCCAAGAGAGCTGCCTCACCCACTGACATGGCCCCTTCCTGGAGGCAGCCCACATCAATAACTGGTCAAGAGGTAGAAGGTTATAAACATCCAGTTCCCTTGACTCAAGGCAGGACAACTGTGAAGGGTGTCTCAATTCAAGAGCAACATGGGGCCAACTAGGTGATGCCTCTGCCACAACTGCCCAGCAGTCCAATTTTCCCCTTGCTTAATCTTGTTTGCCTAATTCCTTCAAAGTTGTCCATCCCACGAGCACTTGCCAGTGAACTACCTGTTCACAAATTTCCATCTCCAAGTCCATTTCCCGTATTTCCACCATCTCAGCCAGGCACAAGGCACAGGCCAGAGGTTTTCAAGAACAGCATCTCAGAAGGACACAAATCGGACATGTAAGTTACCTACATTTTAAACAAGCAAAGCACTGATTATTTGTCAAAGATGCAAGCTTTCTCCCAGAGCCCTCTGAAAGTTGTGTGAGTCCCTGAAGAATCTACCTGGAAAATTCCATTGCCCCGAGGAGCTTTCTCAAAATGTATTCCTGCCACCTGCTTCCCTGCGTATAATCCTCGCTCTCCACAAGTCTGTTTATCCATAGACACAAAATGTTAGAGCTGTCACCAGGAATACAAATGGGGAGAAAGCCACCCTCAAGCCAATCAATAATGCTGGAGACGAAGCAACTGCAGCACTCTGCGGGTCATAGATTATGAAGCACAAAGAAAGGAAACTCAACTCCTAGCATTGTATTGTAGCTGATGGTCAGTAAGGAAAGCTCATGTTCCAATCTGATTCTATTTTAGCCACTTGGCAGAAAATCATCACTGAGGCACAAATGAGATGGCCTTGAAGGTGAATAAAAATCTTGGGTTCACTTTCCAAGACTTCAACATCACAGAACTTTTCAGGAGCTCTGCCTCTCTGCAAGGCTTGCACGTCTATTTACAAAGGCAAAAGCTTCTGTAAAGTACCTGGGTTACCAAAGCAGGCTGGGAGCTGATAATCCAATTTGTTTTCCCTTCAATAAATCGTTCATTAATGTTGCTAAGAAATTTACAGCTTAAAATGGTTTTATGACTAGAGATTAAAAAAGAACCGTTCCAATAAATTTCATATAACTGAGAAGATTCCTGTCATTTTGATTAAGTAGTTCCTTGTGATGATAAAGTTTTATCTTGAATAATGAAGGGGGAAAGCATTAATCACTTTAAAGTCATTGTTGCCTGGTCTCTGGAGCCAACAGCCCAGCAGGCTGTCCTAGGGGGTTACTCAGAAACACAATTTAAAAAACAAAAATAAACCTACCAATCTTCTAGCAGGGTTAGAGTTTTCAGAATAATTGCTAAATCTGCACTGTCTCTAAATGGTGCAGAATCTTCAGAACTGTGATGAGTCGCACTGGTCCCCACCTTCCAGTTCCCCATGGGTCGGGGGTGCTAAGGATTCTGCTTTTGCTCGCCGCTGGGACATCCCCTCTCTCCCTGGGCTTTGCAGCGGGCCGCACTAAGAACCTCTGAAGGCACTTTAATTCGGTCGATGGAGTACATATCACATCCTACAAGGAACCCTGGGCTTCAGAGAAGAGCCAAGACATTTGATTATTCCAGCCACATGGAGTTCTTTTATAAAAACCCACAGATCTGGGCTAACTTACTACTGAAACTCAGACTCTAGCTGATGTCAGGATTCTTACATCCCCTTTGTCCTTTAGCTCTGTGTCAGTCTTTAGGAGAAGTTCTCACTCCTGTTTAAAAAGTCATCACTTCTGGGCCAGGAGTGGTCGCTCACACCTGTAATCCTAGAGCTTTGGGAGGCCAAGGTGGGTGGATCACTTAAGGTCAAGAGTTCAAGACCAGCCTGGCCAACATGGTGAAACCCTGTCTCTACTAAAAATACAAATTATCTGGGGGTGGTAGCGTATGCCTATAGTCCCAGCTACTTGGGAGGCTGAGGCAGGAGAATCACTTGAACCCAGGAGGCAGAGGGTGCAGTGGGCTGAGATCATGCCACTGCACTCCAGCCTGGGCAACAGAGTGAGACTCTGTCTCAAAAACAAAAAAGGCATCACTTCTGTAGATTAGGCAAGCCACTGATAATTCAATGTTGAGTTTTGGTGGGGTTAACAGTATCTCCTTTCCACCTCTCTCCCTCATCCCTAGTCTTCCCCTGCAGGAGAGAAGGGGGTCAAAACAACATTAACTGAATACCTACTATGTGCTCGTTACCGTGCTCACAGCTTCATATCATTTAAGCTGAACAGCAGTCCTGAAGTAGGTATTATCACCATTTTACAGTTGAGGAAACTGAAGTTCAAAGGAGTTTAAATAACTTACCCAAGGACACACACAGGGTAAAAGGCAGAGAGAAGGAGCCATTCTCCATTGTGCTTTTTCTACTGTACAGACAGATTTCTTCTCTTTCATGTGCTTTTGGATGTACATATATTAACTAACCATGGCTCTTATACCCAAGGCATTTACAAAGGAGTTAGAAATCTCAGCCAGCTGAAGAATAAGTCAGTGCTGATCTGCAGATTTCAGAAAAGAGAGAAGTCTGTGTGGCTGGAATAATCAAACAGCTTTAGGGAAGAGGTGAGACATAAGCTAGGCATGAAAGGATGAGTGGAGTTTAGATGATCAGAAGTAGAAAGAACAAATACTTCAGGAAACAGCACAAAGGCTTGCAGTTGAAAATCGGCACAGTGCCTGGGGAGGATAGTGGATAAGGGGGTGAGTAGAGACAGTAAACATTCTCTTCTGTGGCTCTGATGAGCCCTTGGTACATGTGTCCCAGGATAGATGACAACTCTGTTTTTTTAGAAAGGCAGAATGCAAGTGAGTAGTATGATTCAACTGAACAACAGAATTTATTCTATTTATGGATATCTTAATCTTCTCAAACTGCTTTGAGATGGGTTCTTGCTATGTTGCCCAGGCTGGCCTTAAACTCCCGGGCTCAAGCCATCCTCCTACCACAGCCTCCCAAGTAGCTGGGACTACAGGCGTACACCACTGTACCCAGCTTCTTTATTTTTATCCTATCATAATGCCATATGGTAAACAGAGATGTATTATTCTGCTCACTTTACAAAGAGGAAAAAATGAAGTCTAAATTGCCCACAACTCTTCCAAGTAAATGGTGAACCTAAAACTCAGGTCTCCTTATTACCAGACCCTGTAGGCATATGGATGTCTTCCCATCAAATGGCCTTTGAGCACTGACTGACTAGAACTATGGATTCTCACCCCTTTGCACACTCTTCTTCTTATAATTTCAGGAATTCAGGAAGTCCTGCCAGCTTACCCTAGACTTCAGAGAACCATGGACTCTGAATATAAACCTCCCCACAATACCACACTCTGCCAATCCATCCTTCACAGGTAACTGACAAAATGCATTTCCTAAAAGGCTTTATTGCCAATGGCTCAATACCAACCCTTCATTATAGAAACCTAAACTGAAAAACAGACAACATCTGATCATTCTTTCCTCACCCACAGTAATAAAAACAATTACAAATAACAAAAACAACAATCATGCCTACCTTAGAGCTTTACATGTGTTATGCCATTTGATCCTCACAACAACCCTACAAGGTAAATGCCGTTATTATCCCAATTTTACAGGTGAGCAAACTGAGGCACAGAGAGATTAGGCAACTTGCCCAAAGTAGTAAGTGGCAGAGCCAAGAATGGAAGCTGGGAGCCAGGCTCCAGAATCCATGTTCTTAAGAACTGCTGCACTGCACTGCCATCTGAGAAGCCCTGCCCTGGCTGAACCCATGAGCCTGGCAGTAAACTTCAGAATACTTTTCCCCCAGTGAGCAGGGTCTATTAGGCATTAGGTAACAGCAATTGGAATAATGCCAAATACAGGCACTTCGGGACCTGCCTTAATAGGCAGATAAAATAAATATGCCCTCATCACAACCAGCGTGACTACTGCTGAGGGGCCGTGATCTACCTTCTTAACAGGAATTCCATATGCTTCTGTAATTTTCAATTAATACCATTAACAAGTCCAGTGATTTCCTTCTTCACGGAGATCCAACTTAAATTTCTGTGCAAGTTCTAATCAAATTATGAATCAAATAATTAGGTAACTAGCCTGTTACCTAATTCTCCATGCACCAAGGAGGGCCAGAGCCCTGGCACAGCAGGAGCATCAAGCCACATCTGGGTGCCTGTCCCCACCTTCTTTACCACCTGCCTCATGAGCTCCCCTAAGTCTCCTGGTTCCTACTCCAGATCTGTGGCTTGGAACCTGATTCATCCATTCATCAATTTGTTCTTCATTAATTCATTCAAACAACTTACAAACACTTATTAAACACCTACTATTTTCCAGGCCTTGTAGACTCTGGGGATACAACATTTTAAAGCAGCTACTGTTTTAGTTAGTCCTTGTATCACCTCCAACAACGCACCCTTAAAGCACTGGGCCTTGTCCAGGACATTAACATAGGCCAAGGTCAGACCAGACAGTTGTTGGCTCAGCCTTGGTAATTGGGTCTGGCCCTTTTCCTAGGTGTTCTTCGGTGCTTTCCCCAATTTTCCTCTGCCTTGGTGCCCACAGTGAGCACTGACAGCAGAACAGAAATGTTCCATAAGACAATGGCGACTCTGAGGACAGTCCATCACTGCTGGGTCAGTGACTATAGTCGGGTATGAAATAAGAGAGGAAATCATGCAATTATCTCAGAGTTTTCCCCAAGACCTTCTTGGACTGTTTCCTATAAACACCACCTTATTATACAGTTGTTTATACCCACCCTACATGAAAATTGTTCTGTTTTGACTTTTTAATGCCATTCATTGTTCCAAAGTTAATCTGCTCTGCTGTGTACACACACACTTAAGATGTCCACCTGGCTGGGGTAACACATCTGCTCAGATACTCCAGATTCAGTACAGGCAGACAGAAATAGGTTGTTCGGTGAGGTTCTGGAGTCACAGGAGGACTTGGTCAAATGTATAAATTAAAGCTATGCGGAGGGAAACTCGGAAGTCTGAATTCCCAGAGCCTTTGGAAGAAATGAGATTTTCATGACTCATTTAATCATCTTCCTCACAGCTCCCAACTCAGTGTTATGCACAAAATGGTGTCCAATATGTTTTAGAGACTAAACAGTAACTAGATTATTGGAAAACTGCCAAATAGAGGCCCTTTGGGACCTGCCTTAATACGCAGATAAAATAAATATGCCCTCATCACAACCAGGATGACTACTACTGAGGGACCAGGATCTACTTTCTTAACGGGATTCCATATGCTTCTGTAATTTTCTATTAATACCATTAACAAGTCCAGTGATTTCCTTCTTCATGGAGAACCAACTTAAATTTCTGCTCGAGTTCTATCCAAATTATGAATCAAAAAGTTTTTGTCTTGTAACCCATTAAATTTTTTGAGATGGAGTTTTGCTCTTGTTGCCCAGGCTGGAGTGCAATGGCACGATCTCAGCTCACCACAACCTCTGCCTCCCGGGTTCAAGCAATTCTGCCTCAGCCTCCTGAGTAGCTGGGATTACAGGCGCTCGCCACCACACCCAGATAATTTTGTATTTTTAGTAGCAACGGGGTTCCACCATGTTGGTCAGACTGGTCTCGAACTCCTAACCTCAGGAGATCCACCCACCTCACCCTCCCAAAGTGCTGGGATTACAGGCGTGAGCCACCATGCCCGGCCTAACCTGTTAATTCTCTCTATTCCATTTCAGCCCATCTCCTAACCACTAACGCCATCTGAGACCATTTGAAAGGGTCCAGAGAGGCCCTGGTGATGGCCCCAGTTCATCACAATCTGTCACTTCACCCGACCAAAAACCCCAAGCTGTTCTGTCTCCACTCTCCCCACATTCTTCCCCACCCAGGCTTCATTATCAAGTCTGTCGCTTGGACTTTGAGGCCTTCTCTCAAATCATCCCAACCTCCCCATTCCCACTTTCACAGTGAAGCTTCAGGCTCTGCTCCTTCATAGCCCAGGTCACTGCAACCACTGCCTTGCTTTTCTCTGTGCCTCCATCCTCACCACCACCAGCTGCCATACGCTCTCCACACAAGTGCTGGGTTATCATTTTAAAAATGAAATCTGATGCTGTTAAGCCCGTGCTTAAAGCCATGTGGAGGTTCCTCATGCCAGACAGGATAAGGTCCCACCTTCCTGGCCTCTCCACAACCCAGTGTCTCCTCTTACCTCCCGGTGGACCTAACCATCCCAGCCACACTGGACCACCATCTTTCCAAGCATGCACTCATCTTCCACCTCTGCACCTCTGTGCCAGCTGCTTCCTCCTCAGCAGTTCCCTTCTCCTCCATCTTCCATGCCTGGTGGAATCACATGCCAACCTTCAAGTCCAGCCCCTGGATCACGTTCCCTGAAATGTTTCATGGCTTCCTCAGGCCAAGTGGATGGTCCTGCTTCTGTATTTTCCCATCACTTTATTCAGATTCCTGGTATGGCATTCAAATACATCACATTCAGGTAAACTATGGGCCACTTTGTATCAGGGACACTGTCTTTCCCATTTTTATGTCTCCAAGGCCCAGTGTGTTGCCTGGCATGTAGTAGACACTGAAAGAATGTTAGCTGAATTGACCAGCTGAAGCACAGAGTAATTAATTCTGGCTGGTGAGAAACAGCATAGTGTCATCTAAAGGGATGCTTAGACTAAATGTTAAGTAGAAGGAGGAAAAAAGCTGTAGTATGAAAATAGCATGAACAAAGTAAATGCCCTTCCTCATGATCTTCAACAAATAGTTAAAGGAACCTATTAAGTGCCAGGTGTTGTGCTAAGTGTTGGTGACATAAGCAAAATTATACGTGGTCCCTGCTTTAATGGAGCTTACAGTCCAACAGGGAAGAAAAGCAGCCAAATCATTTCAGAAATAAATGAAAAGCTGTCATGAGGCTCTGGAGAGATAAAACATACTATTCAGGGAGAAACAACACAATTTTACTGAGAGATGAGAGAAGGTCTCCGGAAGAAGTGATGACTAAGGCCTGGTGCAGTGGCTCACACCTGTAATCCCAGCACTTTTGGAGGCCAAGGTGGGTGGATCTCTTGTTCCCAGGAGTTTGAGGCCAGCCTGGACAATGTGGTGAAACCCCATCTCTACAAAAAATACAAAAGTTAGCTAAGCATAGTGGCACATACCTGTAGTCCTAGCTACTTAGGAGGCTGGGGCAGGAGAATCACTTGAGCCCAGGAGGTGGAGGTTGCAGTGAGCCAAGACTGTGCCACTGCACTCCAGTCTGGGCAACAGAGTGTGACTCTGATCTCAAAAAAAAAAAAAAAAAGGAAAAAAAAGAAGTCATGACTAAATTGAGTTGTGAAGGGAAAGCTTATTAAGCAAGTGAGAGAAGGATACCATTCTAAGCAGATGGAATAGCTTGTGCAAATGCCTTGTGGCAGCAAGAGAAAATGGGCATCCAAGGGACCAAAAGAAAACTCATTAGGCTGAATGCTAAGAGTGAGGGATGACTAATGCATGATGAGGTTGCAGAGGTACGAGAGGTAAGAGAAGAGGCCTGAACAAGGAGAATTTTATAGTTCAGTTTAAGAATTTTGTCTTAAAATCTTCAAAGCATTGGTAATCACTGGAGTATTTTAAGCAAAGGGTACCTTGATCAGAATTGTGTGGTTTTTTTTTTTTAAAGCCATTCTCATTACAATATGGAGAACGGGTAGGAGGAAGAGAACATGTGGATGTTGACTAGATGGGAAACTACTTCAGTTGCCCAGATAAGAGGTGACAGTAGCCATGGATATTTAGAGACAGTGGGAACATTTGGGAGACATAGGTATGTAGAATCAACAGACCTGGGAATTTAGGGGTGAGGACGAAGGAGGTATCAGAGATAACTCCTGCCATCTGGTGCATGTAATGGAAGAAGTGAAGGCACCATTTACTGACATAACAACTACTGAAGAGATAAGATATTGAGGAAAGATCATGCATGTTTTGAATGAACTGGGAGCGGAAGGACACCTATAAGAGAACCAAACCCATGTATGAACTAGATTAGGAATAGCTGGTAGATCTTCTCTGAAAAACACCCTGGGCTGGGCATGGTGGCTCATGCCTATAATCCCAGCATTTTGGGAGGCTGAGGAGGGCGGATCACCTGAAGTCAGGAGTTCGAGACCAGCCAGGCCAACATGATGAAACCTTGTTTCTACTAAAAATACAAAAATTAGCTAGGCATGGTGGCGCATGCCTGTAATCCCAGCTACTCGGGAGGCTGAAGCAGGAGAATTCCTTGAACCCGGGAGGCAGAGGTTGCAGTGAGCTGAGTTCATGCCCTTGCACTCCCGCTTGGGCAACAAGAGCAAAACTGTGTCAAAAAAAAAAAAAAAAAAAAAAAACGAAAGAAAGAAAGAAAAGAAAAAAACAAAACACCCTGGAGACTTATTAAACCCTTCTAACTTTCTCTAGGTAAAGATACTTGACAAGGTCCCTTGACAGGAATCCATATAGTCAAAAGTCACTAAAACTGTACATATCACCAGCTACATCCCCTCCCAGTGGCGATGCCTAGAGCTTGAGAGATTCCCACACCTCAGGACCAGCAGTGGGTGAATAGAGGGCACGGGCAGTGCATACCATTTCCTTCTCCATCTGTTGCAGAAAATAAAGAGTCTTTTCTTAGGGTCTAGTGTTTGAGAGGGCCAAAGACCCCGAAACAGACAGATCTTGGATCTTACAGACAGCTCACAGGCCACCTGCAACCCAAGGGCAGAGAACAGAAAAGTCAACAGTGTGTTCTGGGACCAAGAACTGCTTCAGCTATCTAGATTATGTGGAAGGTGGAGACAGTGAGGGTAGAAAAATAGGGCTGGAAAGGTGAGCTGGGACTGGATATGAGGCCTCGATGAATTTATCCCTATGGGCAGAGAGGAGCTACCAAGGTTTCTGAGGATGTTGCTAGATTCTCATCCATGCTCTGTTAAGGTAAGGAGTTCATGGAAAGGATGGACTTAGAGGCAAAAGAATGTAGGCAATAATACAGAGCATAGCAGGAAGGCCTTTGGAAGGGTCCTATGAAGAAACAATGAGAGCCCCAAAAATGAATTCAAAGAAAAATTTGGAAAAATTAAAATTCAAAACACGTGAAGTCTTTTGAAGGGGTGGGGAGGGTTGAGGCAGGGTCTCACTCTATGGCCCAGATTGGAGTGCAGTGACACAATCACAGCTCACTGCAGGCTTGAACTCCTGGTCTCAAACTACTGGCTTCAAGCAATTCTCTTGGCTCAGCCTCTCAGAATGCTGGGATTACAGGTGCAAGTCACCAAGCTCAGCCAGACATGAGTTTTTAAAGAGTGAAGAGAGATTATTTGAACAATTCCCTTAATTTTTCACAGAAAAAGAAGGAAAAAAAAAAAGAAAAACACCCTGGAGCATTATTAATTTTTCAGAGAAAAATTAGAGGAAAAAAAAATTCAGAGAAAGCATGCCAAACCATCCTACTGATGAAATTTACCCTTCCTATATCCTCCCCTAACTTCCCTGCCTCTGTTAACCCACATTTATGAAATTAGCTGAATTTCTTTTTTTAAAAATGTCTGCTTTTTTAAAGGCTATTCCATCAGCTCCTGATTACAAACTCACTAAATGTGTTTTCGCTTTCTTGGCAGGACTAACGTTCCATAAAGGCTTCAGAAAAAGAAAATCAAAAGCTTTGCTTAACTGTGGTCATTACAATGAAGCAAATGCAGTTCTCCCCATGATGCCTGTCTGTGAACAGCGGTGCCATATTAATCTACCTCTGTTGGCAAACAGCTCTGAGATCAGCCCCTAAACCTTTTGCAAATGTAAAACAATCAAACAATCAAAATATATACAGACACATAAATATATCCATATATGTATAATATATATACAACACGTATACTTAATATGATTTAAGACAATATTATTTTATTTTTGTTTTTTCAGAGACAGGGTCTCACTCTGTCAACCAGACTGGAGTGCAGTGGTTGATCCTAGCTCACCACAGCCTTGAGCTCCTGGGCTCAAGCTATCCTCCCACCTCAGCCTCCTGAGTGGCTGGAACTACAGGTGCACACCACCATGACTGGCTAATATTTTATTTTATTTTATAGAGATGGAGTCTCACTATATTGCCCAGGCCAGTCTTCAACTCCTGGCCTCAAGCAATCCTCCCAACTCAGCCTCCCGAAGTGCTGGGATTACAGGGGCAAGCCACTGCATCCAACCAATATATATATATATATATTTTTTTTTTAACTAAAACACTGATGCGGCAAAAACTGTCCAAATTTTACTTATTTCCTAAACCTAACACTGCTATGACAGAAACAGGAAAAGAAACTAAGGCATTTGCTGAATTGTAAAGAAATCAAAATGTGTTTTGAAATACACCAGAGGGATGACCATGTCCCTGGTAAGCCAGGGGTAACAGTTTAGGTGACAGCAAGAAATTTGGGCAGTTGGAGGCCAACCTCCCACCCCTACCTATTTATTCCCTGCCCAGAGGTGGGAGAGGCAGGCAGATGGAGAAAGAGTAATCAAGACCTATAAGGATACGTAGGTTGTCGTCTGTCAATAGTGACAACTTCCTGTCTCTCATCTTGAAACAGTTTGAATTTCACTTTCCTTTGTCATTCAAAAAGCAGGGTTGGAGATGGGGAAAACAGCCAAAGGGACATCAAGGGAGAGGAAAAGAGAAAGCAGAAGGAAGGAGGAGATGAATCCACCAACTGGCCAGTTATCCCCCATTCAGACCCTTGTCACAGACATTCCCTGGAATAAGCGCTGACGCTGATGAACTCCCTGGCCAGTGCAGAAACATTCTCCAAGGGAGAGGCCACACTCACATTGTCGGCCTGGGGCACTGGGCAGACAGCAAATCGTTCCCAGGCCCTCAGCTGAGTCATTCAGACCAGGAGACCAGGGGGGATGCTGACATTCCACCTAAACCTCTGAAGTTCCCTGTGAATGTAGATATTCTTTTCTTTCTGTTGTTTTGTTTTTTGTTTGTTTTTTGAGATGGAGTCTCACTCTGTCACCCAGGCTGTAGTGCAGTGGCACAATCTCAGCTCACTGCAACCTCCGCCTCCCGGGTTCAAGTGATTCTCCTGCCTTACCCTCCTAAGGAGCTGGGATTACAGGCACGCGCCACCACACCCAGCTAATTTTTGTATTTTTAGTAGAGACGGGGTTTCATCATGTTGGCCAGGCTAGTCTCAAACTCCTGACCTCAAGTGATCTGCCGCCTCAGCCTCCCAAAGTGCTAGGATTACAGGCGTGAGCCACCGCAGCTGGCTGGTATTCTTTTCTAGAGCAGTCAAGCTTTATGTCTGCCTGTGAGACTTTGTTAAGCCTTTACCCTCAAAGAGCTTGTCTCCCCTCATTTAGAAAATGGCAAAACCCCACAGTCTATTGGATTCACAGGAAGATTTGGGGACACAATGCTGGTCAAGTGGCTAAACATGATACTCCATGCACAGGATGTTCTTAGTAAGTCATTATTGTGGTTTCATTCAGAAACATTGCTCAGTATTGTCTCTATTTTTTTAATATAAAATAAAAATATATTGTCTTATATTTTTTCATTTAAAAAGCAATACTTGGCTAGACGCAGTGGCTCACACCTGTAATCCTTGCACTTTGAGAGGCCGAGGCAGGCGTATTGCCTGAGCTCAGGAGTTCAAGACCAGACTGGGCAACAGGGTGAAACCTCGTCTCTACTAAAATACAAAAAATTAGCCGGGCATGGCGGCGTGCGCCTGTAGTCGCAGCTACTCAGGAGGCTGAGGCAGGATAATTTCTTGGACCCAGGAGGCGGAGGTTGCAGTGAGCCGAGATTGCACCACCGCACTCCAGCCTGGGCAACAGAGCGATACACTGTGTCTCAAAAAAAAAAATTAAATAAAGCAATACTTTATTTAAATATAAAATTAAGCTGGGTGTGGTGAGGCACACCTGTAGTTCCAGCTACTTGGGAACCTAAGCAGGGGAGGATAACTTGAGCCCAGGAGTTCTAAACTGTCGTGTGCTATTATTGCACCTGTGAATAGCCACTGCACTCCAACCTGGACAATGTAGCAAGACCTCATGTCTTAAAAAAAAAAAATCAATAACTACTCATTGAAGCAAACATACACATAGTGTGTGTTTTCTATATATATATATTTTTATACACACTATGTGTATGTCTATGAGGGTGAGTTAGAGAGAGAGAGAGAGCGTGTGTTTGTGTGTGTGTGCATGTGTGTGTGCGTGTGTGTGCATGTGTGTGCGTGTGTGTGTGTGTGTGTGTGTGTGTAAGAGGGAAAAAATCTCCTATTTACTACCACCAAAGAAAACCACATAATATTTTGGTATTTTTTCCCCAGTTTTCTCTCAAGGCAACATTGTATGAATGTTCATATTTGCTACATTGTTGTCACTATATTAAACTGCAATTATAATTCTGATGATAAATGCTACCTGGGAGAAAAGCTGTTGCGGAACATCTTTTATGTCAGATTACAGGATTATTGCCTAAATTGAGAATAACAATCCCTAACAACATTCTTTACTTTTTAGTTTCATCCAGATGCTATTGTGAAAAAGAAATACCAAGCCCTCGGCCATCTTCTATGTCACTAGAGTAACCAAGTCATCAGGGTGGCTATTGGGTGACCAGTCTCCTCAGGACTTTAGGCAGAAATTAGGTATTAAGCCTACTGAGAGTCCCACAGAGCAATCCAATCCCTTCGCACTTCTTTATTATTTGATTTATAATTTTTAGTGTACTTCAAGCAATGTTTTCAATTAAAGGCTGCCAGGTGGCATGCTTCATAAGCCCTTGATGATCTGAGAATGCCCTTGTAGGAAGAACTTTTCTTGAGTGGAAGGAACAGATACACACTCTCATATCCAGGAGGATTTACTGGAAGGACACAGGACAAAATTCAAAGGATGACAGGGCTTCGTGAGCACAAAAAAGGCACTGAAACAGCTGCCCTGTCTCTGTGTGTGGCTTCTCTGCTCCTCTCTGACCCCACTCAGCATCCCTGCCTCCTCGTAGCTTCTGGCCCTCTGCAATATCAGTTTACACATTGCCAGACTGGGGAGCCGCTGACAACACCCCCATCTCTGTGACTCTCTACCTCGAGTCCTCAAAACCAACTGCAACATTTTCTCTATCCCAAAATCCTCGAAGAAGAATCTAGCTGGCCCACCTCATCCCTGTTTACCAGATCTTAAATCGCAGGTTACTTCTGAGGGATGGCCACTCCTACTCCTACCACTTTAGCAGGAGATGGCAAGGCCACCTGGGCTCAAAGGCCTTCCTACTCCATAGGTCCTTCCAGGTCAAGACTATTCTGTGAGAAGAGGGCTTGTCCAGGGCAGGCACCCTAAAGCATTTTTAGAGAAGTCGTTCAGTTGGCTTCAAACACTAAAACAATTTAACTGGATATAAAATTCTTGAATCATAGTCTTTCCCTCTCAGTACTCAATAGGCCTTGTTCCACTGTTTTTTTGGCCTGAGGTATTGCCAGGCAGATGTCCTACACCTTTTTTCTCTTCCTAAGTAACCCTTGTCTCTTGTGTGGATCCTTGTGTACCTTTTTCTTTTGTTCCATAATTCAAAAATTACAGCAGAATGTGCCTCCACATGGCTCTCTTTCTGTGATTTTCTTTTTTCCAGACAGGGTCCTCCTCTGTCACGCAGGCTGGAGTACAGTGGTGCAATCTTGGCTCACTATAGCCTCTGCCTCCCAGGTTCAAGCAATTCTCCTGCCTCAGCCTCCTGAATAGTTGGGATTACAGAAGTCCACCACCTCACTCGGCTAATTTTTGTATTTTTGGTAGAGACGGGGTTTCACCATGTTGGCCAGGCTGGTCTCAAACTCCTGATCTCAGGTGATTCACCTGCCTCGGCCTCCCAAAGTGCTGGGATTACAGGCATTAGCCACTGTGCCCAGCCCCTTCTACTATGTATTTTGCTTGTAATATGGTTAGTCCTTTTAAATCCAGGACAGCTTCTTCTTTATGTTGGCCTTTTTAATGCTTCTGCTCTCATTGTTCAGGTTTTACAGTTATCTCTAGTATTTATTATTTTCTCTCAATATTTGTATCTCCTTTTCTACAATGTAGAAGACAATCTCAAGACTGTCTTCCTCATAGGAGTATTTTCAAGTGTCACTTTTGATCTTCATGTTCTCCAAAGAGAACTTTAATTATGTGATTGCATCCTTGTTTTTCCAGAAATGCTTTATTTCCCTTAACTCCATTTTTCTTCCCTTCTTATCCTCTATTTAAGGCTTATTACTCTTATTTCATATATGCCACATGAGACTAAAGTTTTAAAATATTTTTCCTGTTTTTTATATTTATAATAAATCATCTCACAGGCCTGCTTTTCCTCTGAGACTTGGAGTGATGAGTCCCTTACATTACAGTGGAAACTTTCTTCAGTGGCTAAATATTATTTATTTTCTCTACATAAATCCTTAGATGAAGTAAAATGTATTCATATTTAGCATTTATCAACAACTGCTATCTATCAATGAGGAATACATTGCCTTTTGCTGTGATTTTCAATGATGAATATCTCATTTTCATTACATACTATAATAGCAAATTACGGGATACAATGAATCCATTCTCATAAAGGTCTGTATGGAGAAAAGCAAAAAAAAAAAATACAAAATGTGTACAATTGTTTAAAGGAAAAAAAAGCCTTGTAATACAAAAAGATACTTTCATCACTATTTCTAATTAGCAAGAAGACAAAATCACTGAAAAATTTTTATATCATCCAATTACCAATAACAACAATAAAACCCAGAATCATAAAATTCTCTATAAAATTAATAAAGGAGAACTTCAAATGACTCGAGTTTCTCAAACTGTTCTTCTTTCAATTGAAAAGGGTAAAGGAAACAGTTTATTGCTTTTCACTTTGTTCTGTTTCTCCTTAAACAACAATCAAATCTCCTCAAGCAACACACTCAAAGAACAAAACGAGATGCCAGTCCTAGTCCAACTTCAAGTTTCCAACAGGTATTCTCTGATATCCTGCTTCTTCCTTCAGGGTACATTTTCCTCTATCCCATTCGTTGCTTGTCTGATCAATTAACCAACATGACACATTAAAATGGCCCTTCCCAATGTGTCAGCAGGGCCCTTCCTGTCTCCATTTTCACCTACTGCAGCTGACCTGCAGAAGACGGAAGACGGAACACAGAAATGAACCCCAATGGCCCAATCCGGTGTTCCCCACTTCCTGTCTACTCATTTTATTATTATTGGAGTCTCCACATTGGTGTGGAAAGGGGGGTGTCTATGAAGTGAGAAGAGGGATACAATAATTGCGCTGGGACGGAATGCAACAATGACACTGTATTTGTACAAGGAAGGGCAGCCCACCTTTCTGCTTGCAACAGACTATGTTTCTGAACTGGTGGGACGGGCAGACAGCAGAAGAAGGGTGAGGGACTTCGTAGCACAGCATGCACAAGCCACTGACAGCATTTTCAGACAAGTGAGCTTTCTGTGCCAAAGTAAGAGAAATTTCTCATTGATTCTGACAACAGACTGAAGTCCAGCCCTACTTTTCAGTGTTTATTTTGTTCATCTTTTCTCAGTGTTTTCTAGACATTACATTACAGTGGCAGTTGGGTGAGGATGTATCAGAGGCAATAGACATTATTTCAAACTTGAAGCCCTATAGCCACCTTTTTTTTTTTACACCTTCTTTTAGGTACAGTTCAAAACCCGACATGACATTTTATCTTTAACAGTGGTTTCAACCAAGTGCAATTCCCCTCTCTCTCCACACCCCAGGGCTAGTTGGCACTATCTGGTGATATTTTTTATTGTCATTTCTGGGGGATGCTACTGACATTTAGCAGACAGAGGCCCGAGACGCTGTTAAACATCTAAGTACACAGGAGAGCTCCCACAACAAAGAATTAACGAGTCCAAAATGTCAACAGTGCCAACATCGCCAAATCCTGCTGTATGGCAAAGGTCCAACTCAAACAGAAGCCCCATGGGGGAATTATCTGAGGGGTGTCTTTGCTACTGCCCCTGATCACCTGTATTAGCACCCTATTCATTATCTGAATGCCCCAGTTACATTAACTTTCTGCTGATTAGGAGACATAAATCCTTCTCCAACTCAAGAAAAGACAGATTCTCCCATATTGTTCTTCCACCTCCACTGTAAATGATACAGCAGAGGAGAGATACAATCACTAACAGGCAGAGGCTGTAAAGTCTTCAGTCCACAAGCAGTAATGTGGTGCTGAGCCCAGCATGCCTGGGCTGGACACACATGAAAACAGCAGACAGCTGGGTTCCCCAGCAGGAAACTGTAGGGAACTGGCTGCATTCTGTTCAGACAAAGAAAGTTCAGTACTGAAAAGATGCTCTGAAACTCATTCTCAAAATACCAGCAGTAGCTATGAGCCCTCAGGGAACAACAGGCATCAGAGACTCCAGGTTAGGTGGATGAAGGATGGTAAAATTCTGTGTGCTAGAATGGGCTAAATTCATACAAATGTCCCAGAACTTTCACATAGGCTATTTATATATTTTACGGCAGTGGCTTCAGTGATGAGGTACTTACTAAAGCTCTAAACGTATTTTCCCCAATTAAAAAGAAAATACTTTCAAAAGGAATTCCACCACATTGAGGCAGCCAAATCAGTTGGTCATTAGCACTCTAATGGCCAGTGACAGCTCGGAGCTGGACTCGATATGCATATGCCCTAATCTCCCCAGGAGCAGCTGAGAGTTATGGAGCTGGCTGCTAGTTGAATAATTACTGGAATCTTGAGCATCCGCAAGCTGCTCTTCCAGGCTCTGTAATTCAGAGCTAAAGGGGCCATGCTATTGGTTACACAGCTTTTAGCATATTTGCATGTTTGTGTTGTAGTGGGTTTGGTTTGGAACACTGTTTATTTCATGGGTGTGTTTATTTGTTGATGTGCTATTCACAGAGTCTTCCCCACCTCCAAATTTTCAATCAAAACCTTTGCTATATTTTCTATGCAGATACAGCACAAGAAGGGATGCACGCATGCATGCACGCATGCACACACACACAAACACACACCAGCAAGAGTGTCGCTCAAAGTAGCTTCTGTCATAAAAGGCCAAGCCAATCTGACATCTGATGTGTGAACAGAGCTGTTTGCACACCAAGCGGACTGGTCTACCCCCTCCTACTGATCTTTCTCCCCCATCCAAAGGGATTCTAGCCAATGTCCAGAGAATCATCAACTATGAAAGACAGATTATTTATATTATTTTACCCCACACACACACACACACACACACAAACACACAATGTTTCCCAGTCCCCTTCCCCCACAGTATTACAACTCATTAGGTTAGAGCAACAGGCTAGTAATCAACCTTACAATACTGTACAGTACCACCAAGTTCTTCCACATAAATCATCTAACCCAATCTACACAAAACCCTGTTACGTAGTCACTGTCTTCTATTTGGCAAATGAGGAACTGGAGCCTGATATGGGCATGTTCACATGGCCAGGTTGAAGTAGTGCTGGCAATGGAGGTCCTATAACCCAGAGCTCCATGCATAACAGTGGCCTTCCTCAGGGCTGGGATTCATTGTCTTTGCCCCAGAGAGGCCTCTGTGCTCCTCCCTGGTGCTCAACATAGCTAAACAATTCTACAAAAAGCAGAGGCTGGTCAGGAAGCCTGGTTAAGAAAATGTGGATGCAAAGCCAACCCTCTAACAAGGAGTGACTTCAGCAGTGCATCCTGCTAGCAGTACTCCCATTGAAGGCAAAGAGAGATCAACCCAATCCAGAAGGTCCTTGTTGAAGGCCAGAAAGTTAGACACAGGAGGTACAATTCTATAGGTATCTTAGCACTAATGTGATGGGTAAATCTAGACCCTATATATTTGACCTTTCTCTGGGAATTCTATTACAGAAAATCCACAATTCAAAACTCTAAAATTTGAAACGTTTGAGCTCTGTGATGATGCCACAAGTAGAAAATGCCACATGTGGTCTCATGTGTCAGGCCACTGTCCAAATGCAGTCAACACTGTTTCGTGCACAAAATTATTTAAAATATGGTATAAAATTACCTTCAGGCTATGTATATAAGGTATACATTAAACATAAATGAATTTCATGTTTAGACTTCAGTACCATCCCCTAGACATCTCATTATGTATATGCAAATATTCCAAATTCTGAAAAAAATTAAAATTCAACACTTCTAGTCCCAAGCATTTCAGATAAGGGGTACTCCACCTGTATTTCTGTACATGTACAGGACGTGGGTGGGATTGTTATATAAAAAAAAGCATTAATGAAATAAACAAAATGTAACAAAACCCTATGGAAAAAAATATGTATAAATCTTTACACCGTGTAGTGTGAATAATCATCTCCCACATCCTCAGGTAGCCAAAGTTAAATATAACAGGAGTGTACAAATCCACCATGGTAGCAGTGCAGTGACACAGTATCAAGTTTGAAAAGAAAACTCGACAGGCTCCACGTGAGCCATCAGAGCCAGGAAAAGAATGGATGCCCCTCACAGACCATAGGTGCCTGCTCAGCAGTGCCCAGAACAGCACCTAGGAGAACACTTGGTGGGGCGGTGGGGGGCGGGAAGGTACAATTACCCCAGTGCATGGCAGCTAGCCAGTATGGAAAGATGTCCTTCCACTCTATACAGTAGCCTGAGACTCCTCATTTCCCCCACTGGCTCCCCATCCATGTTCTCTTCCAGCCTCCTGCCTAACGCCATCTTCCACAGTGAGTTTGGGGACCCGTGAGTATTCTGCATCACCAAGCCGCCAGGTGCCAGCACAAACTCATTCAAGCCGGGCCTTTTTTGTTCTTGGAGTCAGGATTGATTTCTCAGAAACTTTTAAAAGTTTGTAAGACTAAATTATCAATCTTTGATTTCTTTATTAGAGAGAAAGCCAGGAAGATCAAAATCATTGGAAATCCCTAAATCTCAGTTTAACCAGTAGCTTCCTTGGCAGGACTACAGAACCCATTTAAAGATCCCCAATTTAAAGCAATGATGACATAGCTTGATTTTTTCCCTCTGAAAATACACCTGTGGGTGCACCATATACAAATGCTGCCACTCTCCTGCCTGTTCCAGCAAGATGCATCAAGGATAGGATGGAGAAGCTCTTACAGACAGAAAGCTGCAGGTTGTCTGTGAGTCTCAGAGGTGATTACAAACATATTTAGTCATGAAAAGACCATCTCCAGACATAAGCCCAAGAGCAGCATCTGGGGATGCAGTTTTCTCAGGCATACCCATTTCCCTTGGAGTTGACAGTCCCCAAAGATGCTGTCTTCTGAAGCAGCCAGCTGCCATCTGTACTTCTAAAACAGCAGAGCTACCAACAAACGAGCCCCATTTCCCTTGGAGTTGACAGTCCCCAAAGATGCTGTCTTCTGAAGCAGCCAGCTGCCATCTGTACTTCTAAAACAGCAGAGCTACCAACAAACGAGCCAGCTTTTCTGTGCCATTCACCTCCATCTCACCCACTTATCACTCCTGGCCATATCCAAATTCAGGTGCCAGTGAGCAATGATAGGGCTGGAAGGTGAGGATCAGGGGTGTTCCACCATTCAAGACATTTATATTGAACAAAGTGCCATGCTAGATGCCACAGGGATTTCACACCGAAAAACAAGGAGAGGCTTCCAAGATGCTCACAAATCTAGTGAGAGAGCAAGACTCAACTAGGGTATATTCCAGAAAACCTACATGGAAAGAAAATAGGTAGTGCAGATTTGGCTCAGTAAATAGAATATGAACCCAAGCCTCATTTTTCCATTATAAATATTGTCCTTAAGAATGTGTCCCTTTCTCCACATTGCCCCCTAGGACTCTTTCTTCCTTTCGTATTCTACAATTATCAAAGGTTTGTGCTCTGGCATTTCTAACTGGTTTAATCATTCTAATTATGTCATAAATGTTTGTTTTCCCTCTCCAACAAGACCACAGAAAACTCAGGTAGTTGCTTACCTTTCTATCTCATCACTGGCCTTAAGAGTATCCTGCATATGGTAGGAGCTCTGCACATGGTGCCGACGGAAACATAAAATCCAGTATCTAAAACTCCAATATGGGGTCTGGAGAATGTCATGGTTCTTGGATTGCTCAGTTGCTTATAGGAATTTGCCTGCTTTAGTCAAGTCACAGAATTCTACAGTTATATAAGTTTAGGGCTAGAAGAGACCTTTTAAATCATAAGGTGTTTTTACCAATGAGTAGCTGATGTCCAGAAATGGGAAGTGACTTTCCTAAGGCCATGAAATAAATGGAAAAGCCAGGACTGGAATCTTGGGCCTCTGAAGCATCAGATGAAAGTGAAAAATGTTATCGAGTCCAGAGATAAAATAAGGAACCTCCTCTCAGTAGCACAGGGAGAAACAATACATATCTGCATTTTATTACAACTGAAAAATTGGCCTGTGTAATCAGATGCACTTTCTCAGCTAAATGTTTTCCAGTTCATTATTTTGCTTAAAAATTGATTAAAATGTTCAAAAATCTATTTCCATTTCCAAAATGGATTTCACTGTAATAGACTCAGTATATTAATAAACACATATAAATGTCACTCTATGAAAAACACATTGTCTGCAAATAACCTTTCAATTAGAAACAGATGCTATGGGCTTTCAGCTTCTAAAGTGTTTTTATTTTAAATGGCCTTTTCACAGCTGAAACCAGGCTGCTCTTTCTTTCTAGTCCACATACATTTTGAAGGTCGGACCTTCCCCCTGGGATCACATGTTGCTTGCAAGTACCCAGGAATCATCACCTGTTGGTGTAGAAAATGCTCTTCTATCTGTCTTGTCAAAAAAGATTATCCCACCCTTGCCACTAAGCAAGCCTTTTCACATAGACTTGGTGACAGGAAAAGAAACACTGTTAGTTACAGTTATGTCGATATTTCTTATCAGATTCAAATTCCACAAATATGTACTGAGTGCCTACTAAGTTTTAGACCCTGTGAGAGGCATTTTCATATGGGTTTTCTCTCCTTAGCCTTGAAACAGATGGTATTGTGGACTGATGGACAGATAAGAGATAACAACTTAGGGAACTGTCCTAAGTATTTTACATACATTAGCAAATTTATCATTTCCAACTTACAAATGAAAAAACCGAGGCTCAGACTTAGTATGCAGTAGAGTAGGGATTCAAACCCAGGTGGTTTAATTCCACAACTTACACTTCTAACTGTTAAGCTATTCCACCTCTCTGCAGCCTGTATTGACAAGAGATTCCAGTCCTCTGCCTGGGTTCCTCTTCTTCCTCGTCCTCTTCAACAATGTTAGAGACTATCTGAAACCCACAGTCCCTTTATTTACAGGCCAGAGGTCCACCAGCTTTTCAGGTTTACACAGCACTTTCAAATACAGACTGTTCTATAACACACACTCACACTTTAATTACCATAGTTCATATGTACAGTCATGCATTACATAATGATTCAGTCAACAACAGACTGCATATATGATAGTGGTCTCATAAGATTATAATACTGTATTTTTACTGTACCTCTTCTATGTTTAGATAGATGAGTACCTACATCATATTACAACTGCCTGTAGTATTCAGTACAGTAACACAGTACACAGGTTTGTAGTCTAGGAGCAAGAGGCTCCACCATAAAGCCTATGTGTGCAGTAGGCTATACCATATAGGTATGTGGAAGTACACTCTACGATGTTGCACAATGATGAAATTGCCTAACAATGCATTTCTCAGAATGTATCCTTGTTGTTAATTGATATGACTAATTGGTAAACAGGAAAATAATATCCTTATAAAACAGAAATTGTGACTGTTTATATGCATTTTTTTTTTCTTAGCCTGTCAATACTTTGAGCATCTGAACAGAGAATTCACTAAAAGAATTGACTAGATTATTGTACCAGATACCCATTAATCCTGCCTCTTTTTCCTATTGGCTTAGTTCGGTCAACATGCTGTCTTAGAAGCACATAGGGCCCACCCAGTTCTCCTAGGCTCTTGTGTAAAAGAACAACCCAGAACAAGGATCCAGAGCCATCTATCTCAGACATCACTCAAGTCCGTGCAAAGTCTGCAAATGCTTTTCTCCATCTCTCCCGGCCTTTGTCTCCAGAACACGTTGCTCCGTTAATAACTCCTTATTCAGTACTCCTCATTCCCACAGGCTGCAGGTTATGCCTGATTTCCAAGTCCCTGCCGGTACTGTCACCCATTTTTCTCATTCAGGAAAGGGTATTTGAATGCAAATGAATCTCCTCTAATTAATGCAAATATGCACATTATTGCAAACATTGGTATTAATATTATGATTCATAGCAAATGAGCCCTGACAGCCCCAACCCTTGTTTATACCCCTTTACTCATGTTACCCTCACCTTTTAAGGTAAAGGCTGATATGTATTTACTAGAATATGTATTTCCTAGGAATTCAACATGACATTTCAAATGTGCTAAGATCCTTATTGGGACGGTTACTGTTTTTCTTGGTGCTCTGGACAAAGTTGCATAGGTTTTGAGTCATTTACTCAACTCTATTTTTCCCATAAATCCTATGATTTTTGTGTGCAATTTTACATAACCTGAGCTTTTCCAAGTTTGTATACCCTGCATCATAGCAGAAACATTTGAACTGGCAGCACAACCAAAGGATTAAACTTTATCCAGTTACCTCAAGACTCACGTGGTCCCTCTTCAACACCGAGTCGCTGTGAGAACAGAATGAATTACTGCCTTTACCATGCTTATTTATACAGTCTGATACATAACTTAGTTTTTAGTTGCAAACAACAGACTCTAACTAAGCAGAAAAGGAATTTATTAAAGGACATGTACTCACAGAATACCTGAGTGGGCCAGCAAATCAGGCTGGGAGACCATTGCTCCCTGAGGCCCCTCCAGTTCACTCCGCTTCTGGTGACACCGCTGGCAGCACTGTGGCATGTACAGCAGACGCCTGTGGTGCAGAACCCTGTTTATGCTGCAGGGAAAGCTGCATGTCTCTCTGCCATCCTTGCTGGAAACAGTTCTGTGGGAGGCCCTGTCATTCCCACGATGCTCTTCTGAATCCCAGTTACCCCTTTGATGTCCCTGAGAAGCTGGGCCTGGGATACACTGGGGTAGTAGCTGCAAGGGAGGCCCAGAGAGTGACTTTTTGACTTGTACTTTGAGGAGGCAGAGTACGTAAGGCTAGAAATTCCCTAAAAGCCAGAAGAATGTTCAAAAGGTACCACATAGCTAGAGTAGGGATTAAATTTTACACAAGTCACAATAAACACTGATCTCTCAGTACCACGTTGATATCCCCGCTTCTCATAGCTTGCTTAATTCAGTGTTCTGTCTGATGTACATCAGCTTAACAACAAATATCCCCGTTTTCTTTTTTTTTTTTTTTCCTTTGTTTTTTTTGAGATGAAGTCTCGTTCTGTTGCCCAGGCTGGAGTGCAGTGGCAGAATCTCTGCTCACTGCAACCTCTACCTCCTGGATTCAAGCAATTCTCGTGCCTCAACCTCCCAAGTAGCTGGGATTACAGGCGTGTGCCACCATACCTGGCTAATTTTTGTTTTTTCAGTAGAAATGGGGTTTCACTATCTTGGCTAGGCTGGTCTCGAACTCCTGACCTCAGGTGATCTGCCTGCCTTGGCCTCCCGAAGTGCTGGGATTACCAGCGTGAGCCACCACGCCCAGCCTTAGCCACCACACCCGGCACCCATTTTCTAACAAAATTTGATCTTATATGTTGATCAACATTTGAAACTATCCCCAAGGTTCCAAGGCTGCACTTATCAATGGATGGTATCCCAGGGGGTAATAATTCGTATGAGCACGTGGGGATTTTGACTTGCTGATAAACCAGGACATAGGTGCATCACAGATTTCTACAGACGGCAGGGTATGCCCGATTTCCAGATCCCTGATGGTACTATCACATTTTTCTCTTTCAGGAAAGGGTATCTGAATGCAAACAAATCTACCCTAATTAATATAAAAATGTACATCATTGCAAACATTGGTATTATGATTGGTAACAGATTAGTGATAATATTCCTCACAACAGATCCTTCCACTTTAGCATATTAATTAATAGGCTATACTATGCATTTGCTAGTGAAAGTTTCTCCCTTCAATATGTTAATTACATCATCTGAATGAGAACTTTAGACATGCTAGGATACATTTGTATACATAATTTTTAGCTACTGTTACATTTCCCCAGGAAACTCCTTAGTCATTCATTTCCAGGCTATTGCTTAGCACCTAAAACTGACTTTGATCTTTAAAATGGCATTCAAGGCCTTACATGGCCCAGCCATGGACAATCTACCAGCCTCACTGTGCCCATCACTCTTAGCGCCCGGAACACAAGAACCTTCTTTCTCTTTTTCCTCCTATGATGCACCCTGCTCCTTCTACCACAGGGGTTTGATATGCTTTTCCCTCCACCTTCCACCCCAAAGATCTTGGGAGAACCTTCCCCATGACCAGCCCCTGCACCACCCCTGGGTCTGGTGCATTGTGACACACACTTGTAGGACCATGTGTCTCTCTCTCTCGGCATTACTGGTTGTTATACTTAGGCAGATATGCATATGATCACCTGATGAACACCTCTCTGCTCCTAAAGCATAATAAGCTCCCAGACGGTAGGAATTGCATGTCTTTTTGCTCACTGCTGTGTTCCAAGAACAAGTAGGGTTTCTTGCCCATGGTAGAT
Source organism: Homo sapiens (assembly GCF_000001405.40). Lineage (NCBI taxonomy): Eukaryota > Metazoa > Chordata > Mammalia > Primates > Hominidae > Homo > Homo sapiens. The sequence goes on along the minus strand of NC_000001.11, from coordinate 210,527,997 downwards.
GCTAAAAATCATCTGATGTACAAATGAATGGGTTCATGCGTTTAGAGTGATTGACTTCACCCATTTGTTTATTTATTTGCTTGACATAACTCAGAGTTTCAAAGTATCTGACTTTTCTCTCAAAGGTGACAATGTCTCCATTTCACAGATGGGGAAACTGAAGCAGTGCTATTAAATATTTGCTAATAAAGTCACATGGCTAGTACACACTAGAGATGGCCTGGGTTTGGCCTATGGCAACTCCACTCATTAGGGCCACCCTGTTGGCGCACCATCCTCTGTCACGTGCTCAAAGGAAATTGCAGTAGAAAGCAAGCCCCACGATTCTGGCCCTCAGGGAGCTTGTGAATCGCCAAACCTTAAGCAAAAGCAGAATCACTCATTTCCCTTATTTATTTATTTTTTTAAAGGTGTTGCCACTCAGTCTGCTAAGATCCCAAAGAATGACAAGATAGCCAGGAAATTTATGATGCTGATAATGGTGATGGCTAACAGCCATTGTATTACTGCTGAGCACTATCCTAAGCACTGTAAGTGTACTATGTTATTTGGTCCTCGAAAACCTCCTGTGAAATAGGTATTACTATTAATCTTCATTTTACAGATAAGGAAAGTGAAGCATGAAGCTGTTAAGCTGGTCACATGGTCAAGAGTAATGCATCCAGCACACAAACCCAGGCAATCAGCCATGGGAGCCTGAGCTGAAAAACCACGAGAGACCACACAGCATGCTGCAAGGGAGCACCTGACGCTTCCAGGGGAGTCTGAGCTGGGTGCTGAGCCAGCCTAGACACATGCACTAAAGGAAAGAAGAGAATGAAGGAGCCTCTTCATTCTTGGAAGGTGGTGATAAGGGTGGGGCTAAAAGTTCCAATCCTCTTATCAAATGGTTGGTTACCCTGGCACCCAGCCCCCATCCTGATGCTATCCAAAAGCCCACCAAGAGTTGTCTCATTAGAACAAAAGATCCTCTGATCACTCAGGAAATTCCGAGGGATTTAAGAACTCTGCATCAGGAACTGGGGTCAAAGATCAAGTATCAGGACAAAATATTATCCTAGTGTCCCCATCTAAGTGTTTTAGGAGCTCTGTGCTGGAAACTGGGAGGCAGAGACCAAATATATATTTCATATTATATCACATCACAGTAGTTTTATGGAATTTCAGTAGTTTAAATTTAAATAGCCATGAGTGATTAATAGCTACTGTATTGGCTGGCACATATCTAGACAACAGAAGCTGCTCTCTAATATTAGAAACAGCAAGGCTGCTTAGCAGAGGCTGTTGAGATTGGAAGAGACCTTAGAGTTTATCTGGTATAATTCTCTCATCTCACAAATAAGAAAACTAAGGCCCAAACAGAAGCGACTCACACAAAACCACTGCAGCAAGAGAGGTACGGCAGTCTAGAGTGTTGGTCTTCTGCATCTGATCCAATGCCTTTTCCATTCCACAGGCTGCTTCTGTTACTGATGCAAAAATAGCTCTAATTTTGTTTAATTCTGGTTTGTGGAACTGACGCAGCTCATAGGCAAAGCTAACTAAAGATCATGCGCTCCCCCTGTTGAGCTAGGTATCTCCAATGTCCATCAGGTAAGTATATTAGTTATCTCAGTGGCAAAAAAAAAAACAGAACCCACTCTGGTTAGTTTATTAAGGAAGGTTAGGCAGTTTGCACAATCTCTGACAGGGCCTGAGAGCCAGGCTCAGAGGTGTTGCAGTCAGGAACTGTTGACAAATTACACCACCACTGCTCCAGTGGGGACTCAACCATGTCTGCCACTGGACTCAGGGAAAGGGGCTCCCCGTCTCCAGTGCTGCGCGTAGGACTCCACCCCAGAACCTCTGCCCCTCCAAGCTCGGTGTCACCACTACCACGCTCACCAGAATGCATTCCAGGTCCCACCTCTTCCCACCTCCCATTTTCTTTGGAATCTAATCTCAGGCACGAGGGATCTGAGACTCTTCCTGCAAGGAAGAAAAAAACATTTATGGCTTCTACCAGATGCAGCAACCGCATAAGGCAGAAAGATCGCGCACGCATTAGGAAAAGAATTCAAAAGAAGGCAGCGACAACACTTAACAAATGGCCTGTCAAGTAAATAACCCATCTGCAGTGGCCTAAGACCATGGATCTCACAGCCCATCTTTCTAAGCAACATCGCTGACTCAGAGCTTTTTACATTTAAAACTATGTCTCTACATTGCAAATATCCTGAGTAAGTCACCAGGGGCTCTTTTTAATTTTTTTTAAAAGATACATTTATTCACAGGAACATCTGTATTGATAAAGCTATATATGGTGGGAACTAAATTATGCATCTCAATTCTCAAGTATTGAGAGTTTCTCTTAGTTTTTTCTTTTTAAATCTGGATTGTCTCATTAATAAATTCAAATATAGCACAGCTAGGAAGACAAATAATTCTAACAAGTTTTTCCTCAAAAGTGGTAACAGCAAGATCAGGGTGAGGAGTGAATCTGAGAAATCTTCTAAAAATGAAATATTAGTGAAATGTGGAACATAATCGTCAAGGCCCTTCCATTCTAACATTCTGTGAACATAAGCAAAGGACTCCAAAGCACCCCAAGTGTTTGCATCTGGAGGATGAGGAATGTTGTCTCGGACATTGACATGACTGTGATGGGGAAAGCCTGGAAGGGGATTTAATTTTTGACAAGAAATGGGAGGACTCACCAACACATTATGTGACAGATTTCACTGGCAGCCCCAGAGAATGAGCCAGCCTTGTGGATTTAGAGGGTCTCTGTGTCCTAAGAGGGGCTGACATCCAAGGGGAATGGGCATCAACGCAAGGGTGCTGAGGGCTAAGAACTAGGCCTTCAGAGACCTCACTAACTAATGGCCAAGCAAGAGAGATGAACCAGTGAAGGAGCCAAAGCCCTGGTTTGCTGAGTGGCCAGAAGACAAGATGGGTACTTGTCACCCTGGGAAAACTGCAAACCTCTATCCCAAGTACATTTCCTAGCCCTGACCCCAACTCCACTCAGCTGCCCATGCTTCTGGAGAGAGCCTACTGCCACAACCCACCCTCACTTAACTGCCTCCAAGTTAATGTTCACATGCATAATTACATATTTTAGAACACACCAGGCAAGCAGAAAGAAATTAAGAGGTATTTTAGGTCTATTGTTGCTCAACACAGAGAAGCTTTTACAACAGCTGTCTGTTTGAGAAACCCCCGAGTAGCAGGACAGACCTGGACCTGCAGGCTCCAGTTCATGGTGCAGAAGCACAGTCATGGTTGAGGTTCAAAAATCCCAATTTCTCTAGATTCCCACCTAAGTCTGTCAGAGTGACTTTTGAAAATGTAAATCAGATCCTGTCACTCCCCTACTTAAAACCCTTCAAGTGCTCCTATCACATTCAAAATGGAGCCCAATCTTCATCACAGTCTGGCTGTTCCCTCTTCCTCCAGCCTCAGGGAGGGACTCCTTGCTCCTCTACTGGCCAGCCCCAGGCTCCCCTTCTGTTCCTCAAGCATGTTCCTTTGCAACTCAGGGGCGGGGGCTTGCACTTCCCTCTGGCTTGAACAGTCCAGCCCTCGCCCTTTCCCTGGTGACTCCTTCCTCCTCACTCATCTCTGTGTTGCCCGCTGCCTTAAAAAGGGCCTTCCTGCCCAGCCCTTCAAACACGGCACTCACACCTGCACCCTCCATCACATCAAGGGAATGACAGTGCTTGCTTACTTGGGTTCTTTTTGTTCTTCCATTTAAAAAAATTTTATTGTAGAAACACTTAATGTGAGATCTAACCTGTTAACAGGTTTTTAAGTACACCATACAGTACTGATAACTACAGGCACACGCTGTACAGTGGATCTCCAGAGCTTATGCATCTTGCCTACCTGAAACTTTATACCCGATTAACAACTCTCCCTTCCCCCACCCCCTGGCAACCATCATTCCATTTTTGTTTTTGCTTCCATGAGTTTATTTTAGATACCTCATAAAAGTGGATTCATGCAGTTCTCGTTCTTCTGTGAGCATCTGATTTCATTTAGCTAATGTCCTCCATGCTCACGCATGTCATCACACACTGCTTACTTGTTTTCTCATTTACTCACTGGGATGTGAGCTAAGAGAGGGCAGGAACATTGTCTATCTTGTTACTGCTTTGATCCTGGCACCTAGAATAGTACTTAGGGCACTTAATTTGGTATAAAAATAAATGGGTTAAATGAAAAGAAAATTAGACGGTTACTAAGTCCTTTTACATTTTTGAAAATAAAGTTTATCTAAACATGTTTAGGAGCCCTCTAGACATTAGACGTTGTGGGGTACTACGCAGAAGATCCAGATGAGTCAGACCCTGCTCACTACCTGGGAGGGGGCTGCAACACACATGCGCACGTGTGCGCGCGCACACACACACACAAGCTATATTTAAAGCAGGGGTCCCAAAGTCCCCTGAGCATCAGAGTCACTGGGAGTGATTCACAATTATACTGATTCCTGGACTCTACCCAAATCCACTTAGCCCAATCCCCAGAAGTAGAGCTTGGGGATCTAAAGCATCCAGGAAGATTCCCAGGATCCAGGAGGCTTGGGAGGCAGTGTTATCGAGGTAGAGAGAGGAAGGCTGCACAGAGAAGGCAGCATCTGAGATGGACTGAGATGGGTGGGATTTGGATATGCACTAATGGGAGAAGCTCAGGCACTTCTGGTATAGGGAACAAAGATGCTAGGAGATGGTGAGGTAGGGGCAAAAAACAGCATTTGGTCCCAAGTGGCAGTGGCACAAGGGGAATAATGGTGAGATGAGATGGAAAGGTAGCCTGAAGACCCACTGTGGTGGGCCCAGGACACGGGGTTGTATAAAGTCTGGTTCTGAGGAGGGAGGGGAAGCATCAGGGCTGGGTTTCTGTGAGACTGATGGATGGCCATAAGCAAAGTCAAAGAAAAGCCATGAAAGGTGAGGGGACTGGGAAGAGGCTCGGACAACCTGGTCGGAAAGAAAATGACGACCAGAGTAATAACTAACATCTGCATGGAGTGTTATGGCCCCTAAAACACTTTTGACACACTTCATCCCATTCAAGCCTGGCAAGCAATTTCTTGAGCCAGAAATTGTGATTTCCAATTTACAGATAAGTAGTCAAGGTCTTAGAAAGGTTTCATGAGTTATCTAAAGTTATGGGTAGAAAGAGAGCGTGCCAGGATTCGAATCCTGTTACTCTGATTCCAGAGGTATAGTGGGATTGGGGGGTGGGGGGCAAGGAGATAAAACTAGCCTTGAGTTTCCATCATTTCCAGGCACAGGGCTGAGTGATTAGCATATACTATTAAACTTCATCACAGCTCTGTGAGATAAGAAGCCCAGTTCACAGACAACGGTGCGTCTTATTCTTTTCCTCCAGAAACAGAAAGGAAGGGGTGGATGTGAGAGATGTTAAGAAGACAAAGCCAGTGCAATTTGGAAAATGACTGGGTGCAGGAGCAACGATGGAAGGGGGGACCCAGCCCCATGGGAGCCAGTGGACTTCTCTCCAGCACCCTGCCTGAATTTTCATTAATTGCCTCTTTGGGGCCTATTTTGGTTACCCGGGTCTCTTCACTTACATGTTCTTCACTTTTTATTTAAAACACTTTAGTACAAGAACACCACACAGATCCTTAGCTTCTTTCTGGTGGAATCAAAGAAAAGTTTAAAAGAAACTGATACTGCAGTCACTTCAAAGGAGATGAGTTTTCATCAGGCAGGGATAAAAGATACCTGGGGACTCCTCCCAGGTGTCATTTCTCACCTCTGGATGCCACTAAAAGATGATCGACAATGCCTAATTAGGGCCACAAAGACACACACTTTAGACTCACCTCAGGTGGAAGCAGTGTTTTAATAAGGTCATTCACTTTTTATATCACTATTAAAAACTGTTTAAACAGAAATCAACCTTTATGTTACACTTACAAAATACAAAGTTTAAAATCCTACATAACAAAGCAAGTATTTTTGCCTCTGAGTTATCACCTCTGTGTTTAAAAATACATCCATAATGGCTTCATCTTTCTTTCCTGGTGGACAGAGAACATGCATGTGTTTTAGCTGGTTCTAAACTGCAAGACTGAATACAGATGCTAATTAACTTCCCATTACCATCTGGGTCTTACTTCCAGGATCAAATGTGCACCTCTCTCCTTAACTTCTGTTTCCAGTGCAGCTCAGAGCCCAAAAAGGTCTAAACGGTCCTAAGGGGACACCAAAAAAAGAGTGGCTCATCTCCAGCTCTCTTCCTTCTCAGAGGGAGTGGGTAAGCCTCAATTAATCCTTCATTTGACCACCTTGCTTCTTAAAGAGGCAAGGCAGATTTTTTGAACATTTCAGACACCACACCATCCAAGAAACACTTCAAATGATGGTGAGCAGACTTCTTCATCAATACCAGGAATGTTACAATTAACTACAGCAAATGTGGTGATAGACTTGTGGTATCCAATATAAAGAAAGCTAAAAATTACCCTGTCATTCACAAAACTCAAAATGCCAATGATTTTTAGCCCAAATAATAATTCTGTTCTGCTGTAGGGCTAATTTTACGAAAGGGTCAGGTATAGGGTATCAACAAGGAAAACCCAAAAGCAGGTAATATCATTTATAATCATTTCAGAATTCAGCAAGCCACCAACTCCCATACTGCAGAAATTTGCTGCCCTTCTGGCCATTCAAAGATATTTGAGACTTCATGGAAAACCTGCACCAACCTCCAGGAGAATAAAAGACACTACAAGCAGTGAACAGCTGTCATGTTCTACCTTCTCTCTCATCAGAACAAAATCATGCTTCAAAAGGGCACACACTATTTCATATAAATGTTGGCATTTGTATGAACTGAATATGTGCTATATTGAACACCATTCTAATATGCAAAATCTATTTGTGGAAAAAAATTATCTTCTAAGGACTATATTAAGGACTACATTAAGATCTCCAGAGATCTTCTCAAATAGCTTCAGGGCCATGCCAGAGGTTCACTGCCTTGTTCTATTTGCCTAAGAAGTATCAGTGGAATGATTTCCATACTTTGCATTTCCACTAGTCCTGAGAGGATATCAAGACATTCTCCTTAGGACAAAAGTAGTGGCTCTGATGAACTCACACATGGTCTCTGGAGTAAATACGAAAAGTGACGATAAAGAAAATTTATCTTGCTATTTTTTTAAAAGCTAGATTCTTATTCAAAATATGTATTTGAAATTAATTGAAGAGATACATATAAATAATATAGAAAACAAAATTCAGGTGAATACTTTTCTGATTTTAAATCTGTAACCTAAAGAGCAATAAAAATTATAAATTGACAAATTTAATGTTTCAGAGACAATGGGAGGAGGATGGTATCAGGTACTCCTTTAAAAGTCATATGCCCAAAGTTAAGTTGTTATCAGCTTTAAAAATTCTATTATAACTACAGCACTCTTTGTTAGTCCCATAGTAACCACAAAGAAATTACAGCAGATACACAAATGAGAAAGATAAAAAACAAACAAAGCTTGGCAACACAGAAAACCACCAAACCAGAGCGAAAAAAAGTGAGAGGAAAAAAGGAAAAAAAATCTACAAAACCACTGAAAAACAATTAACAAAATGGCAGGAGTAAGTCCTTACTTATCAATAGTAATCCTGAATGTAAATGGATTAAATTCCCCAATTAAAAGACAGAATGGGTCAGGCGCAGTGGCTCATGCCTATAATCCCAGCACTTTGGGAGGCTGAGGTGGGTGGATCACGAGGTCAGGAGTTCGAGACCAGCCTGGCCAACACAGTGAAACCCTGTCTCTACTAAAAATACAAAAAATTAGCAGGGCATGGTGGTGGGTGCCTGTAATCCCAGCTACTCAGGAGGCTGAGGCAGGAGAATCACTTGAATCCAGGAGGCAGAGGTTACAGTGAGCTGAGATCACGCCATTGCACTCCAGTCTGGGTGATAGAGTGAGACTCCGTCTCAAAAAAACAAAAAAACAAAGGGTTTTAAAATGAGCTGAAGACTTTAATAGACATTTCTCAAAGGAAGATATACAAATGGCCAACAGGTATATGAAAAGATACTCAACATCACCCATCATCATGGAAATGCAAATCAAAACCACAATGAGATACCACCCCACCCCAGTTGGAATAGCTATTACCAAAAAGACAAAAAAAAAAAAAAAAGCCAAGTGTGGTGGCTCACACCTTTAACCCCATCACTTTGGGAGGCCAAGGCAGGAGAATCGCTTGAGCTCAGGAGTTCAAAAGCAGCCTGGACAACACAGTAGGACCTTGTCTCTACCAAAAAACAAAAAAAATTGCTGGGCATGGTGGTATATGCCTGTAGCCCCAGCTACCTGGAGGCTAAGGTAGGCGGATTGCTTGAGTCCAGGAGGTTGAGGCTGCAGTGAGCCATGATCACGCCACTGCACTCCAGCCTGGGTGACAGAGGGAGACCCTGCCTCAAAAAAAAAAAAAAAAAAGCAAAGAAAATTGTTGGCAAGGATGTGCAGATAAAGGAACTCTTTACATTGCACACTGTTGGTGACAATGTAAATTAGTACAGCCACTTTGGAAAACAGTTTGGAGGTTCCTCAAAAAATTAAGAACCAAACTACTGTATGATCCTGCAATCCCACTACTGGGTATATGTCCAGAGGAAAGAACATCAGTATATTGAAGAAATATCTGCACTCCCATGTTTACTGCAGCACTATTGACAATAGCCAAGAGATGGAATCAACTCAAGTGTCCAACAACAGATGCACAGATAGAGAAAATGTGGCATATACACACTGTGAAAGTTAATTATACAAATTGGGTCACTCTTGTCATACCCAACTAAATCAGAGTTGAGGGGCCAAGGAAGAAAAGCACTAGGGACACATAGCACCTGTTCCAAGAGTTAAATGTTCCACAAGCTCAGGTGCTAAAACAGACTGCTGTAACCCTAAGACCAGTTTTACCTAGTAGCTGCTGAAATGACCTCCCAAGACTCTAACACTGGTTTTATTTACCATCATCAGTCACCAATCAGAGCTTACCATCTCTCAAAAGCCTCTCTAGTGCCAATGAGCTTTCTTTCAAAACAATACATAACATTTCTCTTTCTAATAAAACTCCCAACTTTCTATTTGTTCTCTGGACATACGGAAGACCACCTGGTCTGTATGTATGCCCTGAATTGAAACTTCTTGCTTCCCAAATGTTTGTTTTTGAGACGGTGTCTTGCTCTGTCACCCAGGGCTGGAGTGCAGTAGTATGATCTCAGCTCACTGCAACCTCCGCCTCCCAGGTTCAAAAGATTCTCATGCCTCAGCCTCCCAAGTAGCTAGGATTATAGGCGTGCACTACCATACCCGGCTAATATTTGTATTTTCAGTAGAGATGGGATTTTGCCATGTTGGCCAGGCTGGTCTCAAACTCCTGGCCTCAAGTGATCTACCCGATTCAGCCTCCCAAAGTGCTGGGATTACAGGTGCGAGCCACCGTGCCTGGGGCCAAATAAAATGTTTTAAATTTAGAGATTCATCTCTATATTTTATTTGATTTTGGCAACTCAATGGAATACTATGCAGCCATAAAAAAGAATGAAATCCTGTTATTTGTGACAACGTGGATTGATCTGGAGGACGTCATGTTAACTGAGAAGATCCAGACAAACTAAGACAAATACCACATGATCTCACTGATATGTGGAAGCTTAAAAAAATTCATAACACAGTAACAGAGAATAAAACAGTGGTTACCATAGAGGGGGTAGAGAGGGGAGGATAGGGAGAGGCTGGCAAAGGGGTACAAAGTTTCAATTAGATAGGAAGAGTAAGTTCTGGTGTCCGATTGCACAGTAGAGTGACAATGGTTAACAGTAAGGTATTGTATATTACCAAATAGTTAGAAGAGAGGCTTTTGGATGTTCTCACCACAAATAATAAATGTATGAGATGACCAATATGCTAACTAACCTGATTTGATCATTATACAACATAGATACATCAAAACGTCAAATTGTACCCCATAAATATAAATACAGTGTGTCAATTTTTTTTAAAGTCATGATGTTATCCTGCTCATGATGTTATCCTGCTGAAAACTACTGCCCCACCTGAGGAGGTCAGATAGGAGCAGTCAGAGGTGGGGGAGGCAACAAAACAAGTATCATTCATCGTTTTTAAAATATTATTTTTTAACTGACAAAAATTGTATATATTTATGGTGTACAACATGTTTTGAAATACTTTTACATTGTGAAATGGTTAAATCAAGCTAATTAACACATGCATTTCTTCCTATATTTATCTTTTTTGTGGTGAGAAAGCCTAAAATCTCCTGTCTTAGCAATTTTCAAGAAAACATCATTATTAGCTATTGTCACCCTATGATACAATAGAGCTCTTGAACTTCCTTCTCCTCTCTAACTGAAATTGTGTATTCCTTGACATTTCTTCAGTCCCTACTCCCAGACCTTGGTAGCTACCATTCTACTGTTTCCATGAGTTCAATTTTTTTAAATTCCACATATAAGTGAGACCACATGTACACCTTTGTCTTAAAAGAGACAGTGCTGGCTACAATTCTGAGTAAGATGAAAAGTGCTGGCCAGGTGCAGTAGCTCACACCTGTAATCCCAGCACTGCGGGAGGATCGCTTGAGCTCATGAGTTCAAGACCAGTCTGGGAAACATGGCAAAACCCCATATCTATTCAAAGATAAAAGAAGAAAGAAAAATAAAAGAAAAATGCCTCAGTCAGCAAGAATCAAACCAAAATCACTTACTTTCTTGCCAAAGCTAAACTAAGCTAAATTTAAACAAGCCACCCTGTTATCTATAATGAAACAGAGATTTTTATTCTGTAATCTCTTTCCCCAGGTTGGTCACCTTTTCTTGTGCGGTGTCACATTTAAGAACTCCAGCCAGTAGGCTTCTTCTGAGGCCATCCCTAGGTGAGTTGTGATTGCTGCTTCTGTCTATGATTTCTATAAGATGCAGGACTGGGCTCACTGAATTTTCCCACAGTCATCACAAAACACTAATATCAACAGTGCCCACATTTCATTAAATGTGACAGCTCTTTCCTGCCCCCATGGCTCAGTGGAGCACTCCAAGGCTTAAAAGGAAGCATGTCCCTCCTTGCAAATGCCTAGTCTGAGATCAAAGATAGGGCTCTTGGCTTTGTGGAAATTTACGTCATTCCAGAGAAGTCGACATGACTTCCATCAATTTAAAAGATGCAGCTGATTAATTTCAGGGCATGCTGCAGCTTTTTTTTTTTATGCCAAACACTAAGCATTCAATACAGCCTGACAAACCAAACTGCACATTAAGAGCTTGTTGGAGCTAATAAATGTAGTTAATCTTGAGGGGGTGTGGGGAACGTATGACAATTTCTCCCACATTTGCTCTTTTACAAAGGGAAGTATATTTTCTTCTCTTGTCCATTATAGAGTGAGAAGGATTCCTTAAGTACCATCCCTCTCACTCTTCCAACCCTCTAAGGTTTTCTCTAATGACATATTTACAAGAAAATGCCATTGCTGTCTGAGGTTACTAAGGGACCACTCACTCCCCCTAGGAATCAGGCTCTACTTCTCTCCACCTAAATGAAACTGCTTTCTCTAAGTCTAAAGGACACTTAAGACCTTCTGGTGGCTAAATACAAGAGTTCATCCCATTAAAAAGAAAAAAATATCCACTCCACCCGCCCTCTCCACCAGCTGCCCTGTCTTTCTTTCTTCCCCTTCACAGCTTATCTTCTTAAAGGAGCTGCTGCTGCCATTCCCTCACTGCTAACCCCACCGTCTTCAACCTAGCCTCAGGGTCACTGTCCCAGTGAAACAGTTCTTACTAAGGTGTCCAGTCATAAATGGTGCTGGGTCCCATCAGGTTTGACTTCCCTCCCAAGCTGGGGGCAGAAAATACCTTTTTTTTTCTTTTTCTTTTGAGACAGAGTCTTACTCTGTCACCCAGGCTGGAGTATAGTGGCCCCATCTCGGCTCACTGCAGCTTTGGCCTTCTGGGTTCAAGTGATCCTCATGCCTCATCCACCCAAGTAGCTGTGATTACAGGTGTGTGTCACCACGCCTGGCTAATTTTTGTATTTTTAGTAGAGGCACTATTTTTTTTCATATTGCCCAGGCTGGCCTTGAATTCCTGGCTTCAAGTGATCTGCCTGCCTTGGCCTCCCAAAGTGCTGGGATTACAGGCATGAGCCACTGCACCTGGCTGAAAATACTTTTTTTTTTTTTTTTTTTTGAGACGGAGTCTCGCTGTATCGCCCAGGCTGGAGTGCAGTGGCGCAATCTCAGCTCACTGCAAGCTCTGCCTCCCAGGTTCATGCCATTCTCCTGCCTCAGCCTCCCGAGTAGCTGGGACTACAGGAGCCCGCCACCATGCCCGGCTAATTTTTTTGTATTTTTAGTAGAGACAGGGTTTCACCGTGTTAGCCAGGATGGTCTCGATCTCCTGACCTCATGATCCACCTGCCTCAGCCTCCCAAAGTGCTGGGATTACAGGCGTGAGCCACCGTGCCTGGCCTGAAAATACTCACTTTCTGAAGAGAGCTACAAATAAAGAGGTGAGATCCACCCCATTCTGGGATTACTGTGAGATGGAGAACTGACTCTGCTCCCAGCCACCATCTTTAACACCCCTACCCCTTACTCCCAAGCTGGGAAGAGGAAAGATGAAGGGACTCCTTGGAGTCATTAAGTTGTTTGCTTGTTGGGGCGCACTGTCATGTGATGGGAGAGGAAGAGATCTACTCCCAGAGGCTAGGGATGCCTGCAAAACTGACTTCTCATTCCCCAGTTGGATAAGCAATAAACCTGCTGATTTACTCTGCCCCCTACCTGAATGAGGGAAAGGAAACACAGAATACAGCACAGCAAGGTAGAGAGAAGCCTTACCCTCCCAGTTCTGCTTGCTTCACAGAACACTGGTTAAGGTGACCAGTTAGAGCATCTTCCAGCACCTGCCCAAAAGGGCCTCCTGCCAGAGCAAGGGGATACCAGTCTCAGTCACATTAGAGACACTTGACCACTGCCTCTCCTTCCTCCAGACCCAACATAGGAGGAATGGTTGGAGCCCAGAAGGAAAGAGAAGAGGGATCGCAAAGGCAGACCACTGCTCTCTCTAACTACAGGCCTGGCAAGGGATAAACACATGGAAAGCTTCAAATCAAATGTCTGTTTTTGCAAGTGACAGCATTCCCAGACATATCCAAGTAAGTGGACATGGTAGGCTTAAGTTATTTGCTGAATAAATGACTGTACAGCTTTTTCTCAACCTGCCTCACCCCCCTTGTCCTTTCTGTCTCATCTCATTCATTCCCTCCTAGCCCTAATGTTTGTTGAAGGTTGATCCTATACAAGTTTCTGAATCTAATCATTGATAGGTGACTAAGACATGATCGCTGACCTCAATAAATTTACTAGAAAAAATAAGAAGAGTACAAACTTGCATCCACTACAAGGCATTAAGGGAACAGTACAATGGGAGTTGTACAAAGCACCAAAGACATTAAATAAAAAACTCGAACTACTCCCTGAAGTATTAATACATCCAGACAGATTCTTCTGATCAGTTCAAATATGGAATGTTCATGCCTGCTTTCCCATGACTGCTGGTTCTTTGTCCCTCCTGCTAAAATGTATTTATCCTTGCTGTGTCGAAGATAGCAGTTCACACACTACTATCTGTGTCTGGATCCTGGAGAAAGCCAGGACCATCCTTATTCCTTGAGTATGGGGGAGGCCGAGGAGATTTCATTGTGCAGACTTGGATGAGCCTTGGAAAAGAGGTCAAAGAGGACAAGGTATGCATGGCCTCACTCGGAACATCACCATATCCAGTGTGGAGGAAATGTGGTTTTTGGTGGGGATAAAGGTGATGTCAATTATGTACACTTCCTCTCAAAGAGCATCTTACCAATAGGGAGATGGCCATGCATTGTACAGAAAAGAACCACCATAACACTTACCCAAAAATCACATGGAGTCTACAGACTGTTCATTATCAGGCTATTAGTCAGAATTAACTAGCATTTAGAGATGCATACCTGCAGAAAGCAAATCGCTCTACATAATTTCTGGTTTCCTTGTCATCTTTAGCTTGCAGTCTTTCGGCAACCATTTCTGCTTCCCTCAATATTTCTGACAAGCATTTTAACGATCATTATTTACCAGTATTAGAGTAATACATGCTCAATATTAATACATTTAGAAAACACAGCAAAGTTGATAGCAGACAAAATATGCATATTCTTAAAACTATGATTAATATGCTGGTCTATTTCCATTTAACCTCTGTTACATTTAACAGCTATTTGAAATTAATATGTCCCATAAGCCAACTCTGGTAAAAATCATTAATAAACTAGGATATAAACTGCCATCTGTAATCTCTTTCAATTATGAACAAGGTTGTATCTTCACAACTATAAAGCAACTGGAAGATTCCACTTAAAAAGATTAAATTCAGTGGAGGGAAAATTGGTTAAGGGGGTTGTTTAACGTCTGAATACAAGCTGGCACTCCTAATTTTTCAATTAGTTTTCCCAGCAGCCTAGTAGTTGGAATTATACTTGTCAAGATCTTAGGTAACTATCACTTCAGAAATAAGCCTCTTTAAACATTGATTTCTTTAATTGTTTAATCGTGTGATTCTGGGAAACAGAAAAAACCATAGTGTTAGCAATGTTTTCTTGACAAGTATATATATAAGTGCCATTATTTATCAAGATACTTAACAAAGATTTTCCATTTCAATCTTTCATAATAGACATGTTATTCAATGTTATCTAAAATAAAAATTATTGGCTTACCTGATTAAGAAATTATGCAGTCCAACATCAAAATACCTGTTCAAAAGAGACATAGACAAGCATATCAATAAAAGATATTTATAGTAATGGTAGACTAGACAACTATATTTATAATTTAAATTCATAGTATGACTAAATGGATTGCTCTACCACAGTAGTTCTCAAGATGTGGCTGCTGGAGCAGCAGCATTCCTGGGAACTTGTTGGAATCGCAGCTTCTCAGGCCCCACCTCAGACATACCAATTCCAAAATTCTGGGGAAGGAGCCCGGCAATTAAACTTAACAAGCTCTCCAGGAGATTCTGGTGCAGAAACACTGCTCTCTAGTAGCGTAAGTGTCTCAGCAAGTGTAAGCTCTCTCTAGAAATATAGGCCATGAGAGGAGATCTCCCAGGTACCTTCCACTTTTCCAATATATGAGTCCGTTTGTAATATTCGTGTCTCAGATGTTCACTTAAAATATATATATGTATATACACACACACACATATATATGGGTTTTTTTTTTTTTTTTTTTTGAGACAAGGTCTTCCTTTGTCACCCAGGCTGAAGTGCAGCGGTGCGATCACATTTACTGCAGCCTCAACCCCCTGGGTTAAACCAATCCTCCCACCTCAGCCCCCAGAGTAGCTGTGACTACAGGTGTGCATCACCACGCCTGGCTAATATTTAATTTTTTTAGTAGAGACATAGTCTATATTACCCAGGGTTGTCTCAAACTCATGGGCTCAAGCAATCCTCCCACCTCAGCCTCCCAAAGTGCTGGGATTACAGGTGTGAGCCACCGCACTCAGCCCGAAATATGTTTCAAAAGCCCAACACCACACTAGCCAAAGGGAAGCAGGTGAGGGGGGGTGGGGCAGGGAGAGGCTGGTGTGGCAGTGAGTGGAGGGTCAACCTTGGCCTTCCAAGCCCCACCTAGTTGTAGTCCTGGAGCTTTCCACCTGAGAGAACAACCCTGTCCCATCTCTGGGTCTGCCCTGAGCAGGGGATTTGAAGAGCTGCAACTCCATGCGCTAGCTGGGGAGCCTGACTTTGTGCTTGAGGCTCACACCAGGCATCCCATAGCGCTGGGCTATGGCAGACCCTTTAAGTCACAGCCTTTTCCTGACACCACGAAACTGGTACAGTCCATATAAACGACACTGCCTTGGTTTCTCTAACTAGCATGCTTGTTCCTCCTGAACCTCTGATCATGTAGCCAGTGCCCTTCTCTCCCTTTGGGTCGGACTGTGAGTAAGAAGACCAGGTGGCCAGTGAAGTCTCACTTAGTCAGGAGGCTGAAGCAGGAGAATGGCGTGAACCCAGGAGGCGGAGCTTTCAGTGAGCCGAGATCACACCACTGCACTCCAGCCTGGGCGACAGAGTGAGACTCCATCTCAAAAAAAAAAAAAAAAAAAAAAAAAAAGACCAGGCGGCCAGAATCATGATGATATAGTCCCCCAGGCAGAATCACTGCTCCCAACACCTAACGGGTGGTGGTTGCATCCCACCCACCAGTCTCGCCTCTTGGGTTGGCCATCTGACTGAGTAGGGCCTGAGTTAATTCTGTCCCTTTCAGACAAGAGGTAATGGACACAGGAATTCACCCTCGAGGGGGGGTCTGACGCCTGTCCAGACCCTGCCTGTCCCTAGCTTCCGGCGACACCCTTGACTCATCCCTGGAACATCCCATCATGCCTGGTACCTCGCCACCTGACATATGACAGGTGATTACTGACACTAAGATTCCCTGTGGGACACCTTTAAATGACAAGATTATTTTATGTGCTTAAGTATCTCTTTACAGACAATGGACACAGCATAGGTGAGAATAAAGAAACTCAAAGCCAAAACATGACAGACCTCATTTACTACATCACTGACCTAAAATAATTACATAATTCAGGAAAAACGGGATTCGAGATATATAAATTCCACTTATTCATAAGTCTTCTGCACAGAGCTCTTCTCTAAGGAGAGATCTACCTGTAGGGAGAGCTGATGTGTTTCATTTGATTTTACATTGACCTGGATAAGATGCTAAGTTCTTCCTAAAATTATATTTAACACAAATTTTTTAAAAATAGAAATGATCTCTTCTCTCAACCAAAACCAAGGCTACTTTGTTCAGCCCCATAAATAAATATCCACACCACAGACAGCAATTTTAAGGTTGCCAGATCTATAATATGGGAGGTAGAAGTATGTGTAGATTAAAACAAAGATTTCAGCTTCCTTCACTCATCCAAAGCTTGTAGAGCCTTTTCAATTACATTAGCGACAGAGACCAACAGACTCTATTCCGGGAATCACAGGACAAAGCAGACATGGAAGAAATCACAGAGATCCGCAGTATATAGTGGGGTCAGAGGAAGGCACTGAAACAGTAATGAAAAACCTAATAATGAGAAATTATATTTATTGTTTAGAATGTGGCAAGTACTATGTTTTGTGCTCACATATACATGCTGGTGAGGCAGGTACTGGTATGCCCAGAGCTGACAGCCAGTAGAAAAAAAGCTGGAAATCAAACTGAACCCTAAAATGCACGAATTACTTGCTCTTCCCAAGCACCCTGCTAAAAGCAGGGTTCTCACTGCCTTTCATTATTACTAATTGAAAATGATGGTTCATGTTAAAAGCTGATGTCTTCCCACTTCCACCTCATTTCTGCTTCTCCCAGCATGGCTGCCCTGCTCCAGGGAAGCCCACCTGCTTCTCCCCAGGTGCCGCCCACCTCCTCCGTCTCAGCTAGCCAGGCTCTGGAAAGTGATGGAAGTTCACGTAAGCAGAGTCATACAGTATTTGTGCTTTTGTGTCTGGATGGCTATCAGTTTTTAAAAAATAAGGTTCATCCAACTCATGCCAACACCATCATTCTCATTCAACCTAGCCATGGCCTCCGGGGGTGATGTGGTAGTCAATTCATTTCTTTCCATTTCCAGGTGCCCTTCCTCATAGAAATGGTGGCCAGCCAAACCAATTCCCTCTCCCATCTCCTCCTCTACTTGTAACATGAGACCTAGCTAAGGACACTAAGCTTTAGCACACCACCTACTGAAAATTTAAAAACTAAATATATTCAAAACCATTTCTGCATTATAAAATATAACAATCTCTGAAAGGCAAAATATGTCTTTCTTATTCAACTAATAGCCAGGAAATTATCCATTCTTACAGCCCTGAAAGATTTCCTTTGCAAAGCACATCTTAGGGCTTTGAAAATACTTCCCAATGACAATTCTGTATAGACACCCAATGCATGAAAGGATGAATGTATCTGAGAACTAATTCTAACTCCAGAGGTGGGACAAAGAGCAGGTTTTTTAAAAATCACCTGTAAATATAAGAGCCTTTGCAATGACTACAAGATATGAGTAGAATATACACAAGCTTTAATTTAATGCTGCCTCTCACTTTCCTTGGATCATGTGAGAAAGGCAGGCGAGGTTAGTGGAGAGTAAAGGGTTATAGTTTCTCACCATGCAGGCACAGTGCAGCACACACAGAGTGGAGAAGGGGGGATGTTAATAGTAAAAGCCAACACACACACACAGTGCTTAGCATGTGCCAGGCACTCATCCATTCTACACACATACAATTATTTTTGCAATAACCCTATGAGGTAGATAGATACTATTATCATCTGCACCACAGAGGAAGAAACAGAAGCATAGAGAGGTTAAGTGATTGTTAGTTAGGGGTAAAACTAACACCTGAGCCCAGACAGTCTCCATTAGCCAGAAGACCCCCCAGGGAACAGTACCTTGGTTTTGAGGAATAAATGGTAGGAATGCACCAACCTTAACTTCCTGAGTTTTGTTATTAGAGGGCTGAGTATCCCAAATCCAAAAATCTGAAATCTGAAATGCTCCAAAATCTAAAACTTTTTGAGCACCAATGAGACACTCATAAAAATGCTCATGAGAGCACCTTCAGATTTTGGATTTTTAAATTTGAGATGCTCAACTAGTATAATTGCAAATATTCCAAAATCTGTAAAGCTCGAAATCCAAAACACTGATTTCTGGTCCCCAGCATTTCAAGTAAGGGATATTCAATCTGCATATTGCAGTTATTCAGTTGGTGCAAAAGTAATTGCATGTGGTCTTTGCCATTGACAGTAATGACAAAACCCACAATTACTTTTGCACCAACCTAGTACATAGGAAAGTGTCCTTAGAAGCATACGCTGAAGTACTCAGAGTGATGATGCTTCATGTCCACAACCTAATCTCAAATAATTCAGGGGGAAAATGTTACATAGGTACTGTGCTTCTAATGTTTGTGAGTTTAAGATTATTTCAACATTTTAAAAATGAAAGATAAAAAGCACACTCCTTGCAAAAGAAAAGCAAACAAGTTCATGTTTTTTGTGTATAGAGAGAAATTAACAGTGCATCCTAAAATCAGAATCTAATTTCTATAACTCGGATTAGTTTTTCCTCATATATTTTGTTTTTGAGCTGTAAATGAGTGAACATATATAAAATGAAAATCAAGACCACATGATAAAACCAGTGATAGCTATCTTACTGGCTGGAAGAATGAAGTGGTTCATAAAGCTGCTCTTCATAAGAGCCATTATCTTAATCTTACCAACTCCACCACCAATAAGTCAGGCAACATATTTGATACGACGCTAAAGGTTTGGCTTAAAGAATGTATATGCCTTTTCATCCTGTTCCCATTAGAAAAAAATAAACCAAACATATTTAAAACTATAAACTGTTATTTAAATTTATGTGATATTTTAAAAATGTTATTTCATCATTACTTAATAATTTTATTAAGTATCATATGAGAAAGTGACTCTATCCAAAAGAAAACTGTGGTCTACCCAACCAGAGGTCTAGTTCCATGTTACCAGAATTTGCGGGCTTTTGCAGCTTCTTCAGAATCATGAGTTCATTCTTCTATTATCATTATTATTACATAGTGACAAATTATAGTTGTATGTATTTATGGGGTACGAAGTGATGCTAGGACTTTTTTTTTTTTTTTTTTTGAGAAGGAGTCTCACTCTGTCACCCAGGCTGGAGTGCAGTGGCATGATCTCGGCTCGCTGCAACCTCCACCTCCCAGGTTCAAGCAATTCTCTTGCCTCAGCCTCCCGAGCAGCTGAGATTACAGGTGCATGCCACCATACCTGGCTAATTTTTTGTATTTTTAGTAGAGATGGGGTTTCACCATGTGAGCCAGAATGGTCTTGATCTCCTGACCTCGTGATCAACTCGCCTTGGCCTCCCAAAGTGCTGAGATTACAGGCATGAGCCACCATGCCCGGCCATGCTATGATTTTTTAACATAATGTGGAATGATTAAATCAAGCTAATTAATATATCCATCACCTCAAATTTTTTGTCATTAGAATATTTGAAATTTACTCCATCAGTGATTTTGAAATGTATAGTATGGATTTCCTCTTTACCATGGTAAACCTAACTCATGTTCCTTCCAAAGAGTTCAGGGGTGGGGCCTCCCTTGTAGGGCCATCTTTAATTTCAAAACACTAGCAATGCAATGAACTCTAGAAATATATTCTCATGGCCAGGTGCGGTAGCTCACGCCTGTAATCCCAGCACTTTGGGAGGCCAAGGCAGGTAGATCACAAGGTCAAGAGTTCAAGACCAGCCCGGCCAAAATGATGAAACCCTGTTTCTACTAAAAATACAAAAATTAGCCAGGCGTGGTGTTGGGTGCCTGTAATCCCAGCTGCTAGGGAGGCTGAGGCAGGAGAATCACTTGAACCCAGGAGGCGGAGGTTACAGTGAGCCGAGATTGCACCACTGCACTCCAGCCTGGGCGACAAAGCAAGACTCCGTCTCAAAAAAAAAAAAAAAAAAAGAAAAAAGAAAAATGTTTTCTTTAGTTTTTGTATACAGATGGAAAAAGCACCTTAAGGAGCTACAGTAGGAAAAGAATACACATTGTTTTCTTAGAAGTATATGCCAAACACTGGGCTAAGCACTCTGTATATTCTCAATTTTTAATCTTCACCACAACCCTGTGAAATAGGTCCTATTTTATAAAGGCTTGTGTCTTTATTCCCAGTCTCATGACTAGTAAATGCTGAATCAGGATCTAGCTCAGAGCAGACACCAATGTCTGTGCTTTTTCCTTCATATATTCAACCACAGACTCATTTAACAAATATTTACTATGTGCCCATTCTGTGCTAGATACTGGAAATTCAGTAATGCACAGCACATAACCTCTGCTTCAGGGAGAATAGAGCCTAAAGGGATGGCAAAGTCAACAATAATTTCAATGCAGTGTGACTGATAACTAATCAATCATTCTCTCCCACAACAGACCAAAAACTTCATAAGGGCAAGAACCAGAGCCTTCCGGAAAGCAATAAATGTCGTTGAGTGAAGCAATGTGTGAATGATAGGCCTGTAATAAGGTACCAATGCTTCTGTCTGCTCTGGCACTTAGCATCATACACTGCACATAGAAGAGGCTAAAAAGTAGTTATTTAATACACTGATTATTTTATGTAAGTACATAAAATAAATACCCACAGATAAAAATAGGGGTTCTCTTCTGAAATAAGATAGTGATCAAACTATAGCACAATCATTCTTATCACCTTTTAAGGAAATAGTCTCACAACTAACCAGCCCACAGAAAACCAGGGTTTCCTCATGAGGAGACATAAGGAACACGGATCCTGTACATATTATTCTTAGCTCCTTCCAGAAATTAAAAACAGAAAATCTTGTGTGTATGATATGCAAGTTTTGCTGTCTGCACATCAACTGATAGCAGCCATGGGGAGGCAGATTTCAGCTTGAGATAAAAAAACTGGAATGGATGACCTTTAAGATTCCTTTAAGCCTCAAGTTTCCAAGTTCGTGTTTCAGGCACTTTCAGGCAGCATCTCTAAGTATGAATGCTCCCTCCCACAGCAGCAGCTCCTGTCTGATTACCATTAGCAAATTAGTAGACTGTGCCCGGGCTAACACATCCAGGGCAGCCCTGGCAGTTTATTTATGATGATTATGACTGCTGTACTCATTAGAGCCTCACAGTGCATCAAAATTAGGCTTGTTGGGCCTGACAAAGTGGTGCTGCCCATATGCTTACTCACAGAGC
Organism: Homo sapiens; assembly: GCF_000001405.40. Lineage (NCBI taxonomy): Eukaryota > Metazoa > Chordata > Mammalia > Primates > Hominidae > Homo > Homo sapiens. Next base: position 210,506,105 of record NC_000001.11, on the reverse strand, counting down.
ACAGAGGTTTGTATATCACCTAGCTTAGAACTGCTTCTTTGACGGAGGAGGGGTGGGGCCCACACACCGTGTCCATGGCAGAACTCAGACCAGAACCCATGGCCAGTTCCAGGACTTGTTCTGCTCTAACAGGCTGCCTGCCCTTTGGGGTACTGTCCTTCCTCCCAGACTAATCTCGGCTGGGTGGAAGCTAGGGATAAAAACAGCAACAGACTATGGCCAGGAGTGGCAAATACCATACAACTGAGGTATGTTTTAGAACCACTGTTGTCATGGCCACTTAGCATGACACAGGCAGGGCAGCATGTAGACAATGTACCAAAATTTAGCTGTCAATCCTTGCCTCCACCTCTCCCATTTGCAAACTTCAGTCTTTTATCACTACGCTTGTTTAGCCTATTAATAGGCTGCCTGAGTTCAGCCTTTACATTCCTGTCTGGGAAGTTTGAGAACTAATTTGCACAGCTGGGGGCAAAAACCAAAGCACATCGCTAGGGTGATAAAGTTTATACCTAGACTCAAGAAGCCCTGATTAGTTCAGCTGGCCTACCTAACCCAATTTTGGAGAGCAGACAAGACCTGAAAGTGTATCTGCCCTAACCTCCTCCTCACTTGACTAATTCGGAAGCAGAGAATAAGGAATATGAAATAATTGAAATACAACAAACAGCAGAGCTGAGGCTGATCGACCAGGCCCCCTAGACCCCAGCTTTTTGTTCAAAGTGTCCCAATGCTGCCCTCCTCTCAGTCTCAAGCAACATCTTTATTTTCTAAGGATGCCTGAGGCACAATTCTTAGAATAGGCTTCCTGATGACATCACATAGTAACTGGCACCATATCATACCATCTTCAGCTCCATCTGTTAACCTACGTCTCAACCTGCTCACAGTCAAGAATAAAAAGTTGGGCCAGGCATGGTGGTTCATGCCTGTAATCCCAGCACTTTGGGAGGCCGAGGCGGGTGTATCACCTGAGGTCAGGAGTTCAAGAACAGCCTGGCCAACATGGTGAAACCCCGTCTCTACTAAAAATACAAAAATTAGCCGGGTGTAGTGGTGGGCACCTGTAGTCCCAGCTATTTGGGAGACTGAGGCAGGACAATCGCTTGAACCCAGGAGGTGGTTGTTGGAGTTGAGATCACACCACTGCACTCCAGCCTAGGCAACAGAGCGAGACTCCGTCTCAAAAAAAAAAAAAAAAAAGAATAAAAAGCTACGCCGGGAACATAGTGAGAAGTGAAGTGAAAATAAACTTAGACACTTAGACTAGCATGATCCCAGTTGGCAGTCAAACACGTTTTGTGAAATACCAAGGTCTGATAGAAAAGTAGAAAACAAGCCCTGGGAGGACAAACTCCTCAGAACAAACACGGTGAAAACAGTCCTGAGTTACCACATGACATGCTCTTATGGATCAGACAAGTGTGTCTGCCATCAGATCATCAGGAAGGAGGGTCTGGGAAAATGGCCCACAAGCTTGAGATCTGGGCATTTCACACTGCTGAAGGAAAGGTGAGAAGGCACCAGTTCCAGGCATCATCAGCTCAGGAGTGAAGACATCTCCCCAACAGCAGTGGAAATCATGATGCACTGAATGTAGAATTAGAAATTCGAGATCTGGATTCTGGCTCTACCACGTAACAGCATTTGACCACAGGCAAAAAGTTAATCCCTCCATGGCCTTGTTTTCTTAACTGTGGCATGGATACAATGATACCAAGAGCAGAAAAGGGAATAAATGTAGTAGGTACAAATGCTTCAAAAACATTCTACAAATTTTCAAGATTGTTTTCTCTCCTCCTTAGACGTCATTAAGAATCCTAACAGAGTATTCTCCAAACTATATTAATGCTATAATTATCCAGGAAATATTTATCGAGTACCTTCTAGATGCTCAATAGAGCTACAAGAGATGCTTAGGATACAGCAATGAACAAGAAAAGTTCCTACCCTTGTAAGTATTCTGGAAACAAGTCCTTTATTGGATGTGTAATTTGCAAATATTTTCTCTCAACCTATAGCTTATCTTTTCATTTTCTGAAAATGTCTTTGAAGCACAAAAGTTTTGAATTTCAAAAATCCAATTGATTGATGTTTTTCTTATTGTGGATCATGCTTTTGGTGTTATATCTAAGACATCTTTGCTTAACCCAAGATCTTGAAAATTTTCTATGTTTTCTTCTAAAAGTTTCATAGTTTAGCACTTAAAGTTCATGATCTACTTTGAGTTAATTTTTTTGCGTGGGGTGTGTATAAGGGTCTAAATTCATCTTGCTTTTTATCTCTTCATGTAAAAATGTCTGTTGGACACATTTGCCAAATGAAAGGTCACCGGCAACTTTGAGGAGTAGCTTCATTGAGTGGGGGAAATGGAAGCCAGACTAGAGCCAAGTGAAGAGAGGATGAGAAGGAGAGGAGGACACTACCCGGTGTGGATAACTCTAATGAGGAAGAGTTATGTCCTGAAGGAGAAGAGGAACCACAGTCACCAAACAAAGATGAAACAAACAAGGTTGGTGTTTGTTCATTTGGGGGAAAGTCTTCCATTGTACCAGGTGATAGGTACAGAAGATTTAGAAGATGATGAATGCAAATGGCAGTGATTTGGTGGAGAGAAAATTTTCAAGAGTATAAAGCAAAGTCATCAGATGAGAGAAAAGTAGATAGGAGTTACATGTGGGCATTTGTTGGTTTTGCTTGTTTGCTTGTTGGTTCTGAGGGAAAGCCTGGCTTCCTTTGGGGACTTACCTCTCACCTACTGTGTCCTGTTCTAGTAGGACAATTAAACCTCACCCCTGCCTTGCTAGGAGCATGGGCAAGGCAGTCAGGCTAAGTAAAATTAAATATTGAATACATAGTGGCTCATGCCTGTAATCCCAGCACTTTGGAAGGCCAAAGTGGACAAATCACTTTAGGCCAGGAGTTCGAGACCAGCCTGGCCAACATGGCGAAACCCTGTCTCTACCAAAAATACAAAAATTAGCTGGGTGTCATGGCACATGCCTGTAGTCCTAGCTACTCGGGAGGCTGAGGCATGAGAATCACCTGAACCCAGGAGGTTGCAGTGGGCCAGGATTGTGCCACTGCACTCCAGCCTGGGTGACAGAGGGAGACCGTCTCAAAAAAAAAAAAATATCTTCAGTATATAGACAGTATATTGAGTACACAGTATAAGCTAAATTAAATCTTGAGTATATAGACAGCAAGAAAGAAAAAAAAAATTGAGGCTGATTCACTCCAGGTGTTGTGCCTTAATATGACCATGATACCACTTTGCTGACCTATTATAACTACAATAAATTCTGTTAAAGTAATTCTAAACATGAATTTATAAGTTGTTGTCTATTAAGAAAATAATAATTAGTACTTCAGTAGAACTTTAAATTTACAAAGCATCATCACAAACATTTCTTAACAAACTATAAGGAAAATAGGGATTGTATATTACAGGCATTTAACAGCCAATGGTACCTAACAGAGCCTGGCTCTTAGCACTTAGTACAAGCCTGATAAATATGTAAATGCATGAATGCATGATTCAATGATTTTCCCACAATTATGCGGCCAATAAGGGACCTGATTTTAACTTAAACTCAGATTGCCTCACTAAAAATTCAGCGATTTTCAAATGACATATGTACTATAAATTAAATGAGATATACTTTTCAAAAGATTATGCTTATAATTTCTGGACTAGGAAAGATTTTTTTTTTTTTTTTTTTGAGACTGAGTCTTGCTCTTTTGCCCAGGCTGGAGGGCAGTGATGCAATCTCACCTCACTGCAAGCTCTGCCTCCCGGGTTCATGCCATTCTCCTGCCTCAGCCTCCCAAGTAGCTGGGACTACAGGCGCCCACCACCACTCCCGGCTAATTTTTTGTATTTTTAGTAGAAATGGGGTTTTACTGTGTTAGCCAGGATGGTCTCTATCTCCTGACCTCGTGATCCACCCACCTCGGCCTCCCAAACTGCTGGGATTACAGGCGTGAGCCACCGTGCCTGGCCGGAAAGATTTAATTCTTAAAAACAATGAACCGCTGATAAGCAAAATATAATAACATTCCACTTAAAAAAAAAAAAAAAGAAGAAGAATAGAGGAGACCTAAAATATAGGCAGAGGGGTTGCTAATTGCTGGAATAGGACTAAGGATGAGGGTTCCCACATATTAACAAAATTAAGGCATCCAATAAGATGGTCAGAGCTTTGTTTAAAAAAAAAGGGTGGGGGTAGGCAGCTCAGGGAGAAGGTCTCGGATGAAGCAAGGCAGTGTTCTTGATGTGCCAGTTTTTGTGTGTGGACATTCCTTCCTTCTAAGCACTGGCCTGTACCTCAGAGGTGAAATGCCTATGAACTAGCACTTTCCAGATTCCCTTTTCAGCTGACTTCTGATTCAGTTCTCCCAATGAGAGGCACTCTCATAAGAACTGAAGGGAAAAAAGAAAGAAAAGCCATTTTTCCCCAGGAGCAGCTGGGGACAGGACTGTGGACGTCAGCAGATTGCAGACATGGGTTTTGTTAGCTGCTTCTGCAGTGAGGGACTCTTGAGACCCCACTTTGGTGCTGCAGGCAGCCAAGATCAGCAGCAGCAGCTTCCAACAGCCTTCCAACCCTCCACTCCACCACCCCTCTATGAGTTTTGTGTGCCTCCACTTCCCTGTAGTTAATCCTTGCCACCCAAAATATCTTGAGTGGTTTCTATTTTCCTGCCCAAACTCCAATGCAACCGATGAAGCAGGGCAAAGCTGCTGCGGCAAAAGGGAGAACGGGGAGGAGATAGGACAGAAACAGATGTGCCAGGAGATTTCAAGCATCTGCAAAGGGCAGAGGTTGGGGCAACAGAGTCTATGGGCCAAAATAAGAATGGCAAAGAAATCCATTTAATGAATATTTAAAGTGCCTACTATGTGCCAGGCATGGCATTAGAGGCTAGAAAAATAAAACTGAACAAAGCAGAGTGTGGTCCTCCAGCATTCAGTCTGGTGGAGGAAACATAAGTGATGCAATGAATCCAGAACAAAGGGACAAATGCCAAAGAAGAGATAAGCATGAGGTGCTGTGAGAGGTCTTGAGCTGGTGTTTACATTTTACCAGCATGGGGGAGGGCAGGAGAGGCGCGCAGGAAGGGCTTCCCAGAGGAGCTGATGCTCTAGCTGGGCTTTGCAGAAAAAGAAGTTGGACAGCCTGGTGTGGGAGGTACTTCCCAGGTAATATGTCAATTCCATAGTGTTTAGGATCCTCACTGTGGAAGCCAACTGGCAACAGTCCCCACAGAACATCACTTGAGTTGGTGACTGATAAGGGGAGCTGGCTCCAGGGCCACAGGAGATGCTGACAAATGTTCTCTTCTTTCTTCCAAGTAGCACTTCAGTAATGATGCCCAGAAGGCAACCAAAAGCAGCAAGATTAAGAGGAGAGAAGTCTACATCCCTAATGGAACCACAGAGCCCTGCTGATCTTTCTGCCCAGGTTGCCCTTGACAACCACACTACTGAGTATCTCCAAACAGAGAACAAGGATATATGACTTACACCTCCTCTCCATGATGCCCCAAAAATTACGTACAGACAGCGGATTCAGCATCTGCTTATAGAGTAAACTGCACCCAAGATACCCAGAGCTTCAGGAAACAAAAGAAATTAGGTTAGGCTTCTAAGGGTTGACTTCTGGGAGCTGGGTAATTAAATGAGTCAATACTTACCAAAAAGGTGCCAGCAGGTCACAAGAATTCAACACAAAACTAATATAAGGCTATTATTAATACAATCTTAAAAGCTGAGCATCTTCCTGCATGTATATTTTTATAATCGGTCATCTTATTAAAACCTCATTCTACCCTTCAGCAGTTTGTGAATACATCATCACAACAAGTGATTATTCATGACATGTGTTTGATGAATCTGTTCGTTATGGTTTGAAAAGTAGACATCACATGATCCCTTCAAGGATCTAGTTTCACCTCTCAGAATAGTTGAACATTTGGCCTTGCCCCTGTTGGTAACCCAAACCCAACTGCTTTGAAAAGTTGCTTAACTGGAATGAGGTACACAGGCTTTCCCTCCTTTTATATTGAAACAAAAGACTTTTTGCCATAACCAGGACTCAAAAGACAACAGTCATTATATCTAAAAATGATACTTACAAATTTTGAAAATGTATTTGACTTTATTATCATTCTCATTCTAATTTGTGTCCTTTCCTTTCTCAGTTTTATTCTCATGCTCATGATATATTGGAGCTTTAAGAATTCCCATTTGATTATTTATTCCCTACTTGACTAAGATATAAGTAGAGTTTCAGGGTTTTAAAACAACAAGCTCTCCTACTCTTTGCAGCCGCCTCTCCTAGGCTTACTAATTACCAGCAAAATGTCTAAGTGTCTCCTTGGGCATCTCTTTCACTTAAGTGGCTGAGCTAATCTAAGTGAATATGGCTATTTTCCCTTCCATAATTTTTTTTTTTTTTGAGAGAGAAAGTCTCTCTTTGTCACCCAGGTTGGAGTGCAGTGGCACAATCCCAGCCCACTGCAACCCCCAACTCCTGGGTTCCAAGGATTCTCATGCTTCAGCCTCCCGAGTAGCTGGGACTAACTAAAGGCATGCATCACCATGCCCAGCTAATTTTTTTGTATTTTTAGTAGAGATGGGGTTTCACCATGTTGGCCAGGCTGGTCTTGAATTCCTGGCCTCAAGTGATCTGCCCACTTTGGCCTCCCAAAGTGTTGGGATTACAGGCGTGAGCCATGACACCCGGCCACTTCCATAGCTTTCCATCAAATTATTTTTACTGAAGTCCAGAAGAAAAAAATTAAGGAGCCACAATTTGTGAACTGTCAATGTCACAATGCAGCATAGGCAGGTGTGGGGAATGGGAAGCAGAGACCAGAGGGACATGGATGAGGATGGAGTTCTGCAGGGCTCTGTCACAGCTTGAGGCTTGAGGTTCAAGGCAGTGTGATACAGATGGTCTTCTCAGGACTAAGCAGGGTATAGGCTGATTCGCACAGCAGAGGCTGCAAGGAAAAATAAAAATAAACTGCAAGGGCTGGGTGTGGTGGTTCATGCCTGTAATCCCAGCACTTTGAGAGGCTGAGGCGGGCAGATCATGAGGTCAAGAGATTGAGACCATCCTGGCCAACATGGTGAAACCTGGTCTCTACCAAAAATACAAAAATTAGCCAGGCACGGTCATGGGCACCTATAATCCCAGATACTCAGGAGGCTGAGGCAGGAGAATCACTTGAACCCAGGAGATGGAGGTTGCAGTGAGCTGAGATCGCACCACTGACTCTAGCATGGCCACAGAGCGAGACTCCGTCTCAAAAAAAAAAAAAAAGAAAAAAAAAAACAGACTGCAAGGCAAGGAAGCAATACATATAAAAGAGTGCCTGGCCTTTCATAATCCACTATGCCAACAGTTGCTTTTGTTTTTCCTAGTTATAATTAATACTAAAGCCGGGTGAGTGGGCCAGGCCTACAACACCTTCAGTAGCCACCCATTGCTCAGACAGCATTCTGGACAGAGAAGATGTCACTTCATAAAGCTGACTGATAATGTTGCCAGGTCTTCAGGGATATGCACAGGTGAGAACATAAAGGGGCATTCAGTGTTCTCTAGCTGAGTGGTTCTCAACCTGCTCACTCAAGCTACCAGTGGTCCCTATCTGTGTTATAAAAACTAAATTCCTCTCCCACTGAATGTTACCAAAAATGCTACAGGGATTTTTAATAGATTTTTAAAAATCAATCTTAATTCAAGAAATAAGAATCATACTGTTGTCTCAACATTTAAATTTTTAAGTTTCACGTACTTCGAGGAAAATTAAAATTTACTACATTTAATAGAAACACTAAGAAAAGTAGTATCATTTGCATATTGTACCCCAAACCTTGTTCTTCTGGACATAAATCCATGCAAGAGAATAAAAAATGTAATTTCTTTACATTTACTGAGCTTCTCCCATGAGCCAAATGCTGTCAGGTACAGGGATGGACAGTCCCTGACCACAGAAGTTGATAGCTTAGGGGGTCAACTGATACATAAATAAAAAATTATGGCCGGGCTCGGTGGCTCATGCCTGTAATCCCAGCATTTTGGGAGGCCAAGGCGGGCGGATCACAAGGTCAAGAGATCGAGACCATCCTGGCCAACATTAGCCTCTACTAAAAATATAAAAATTAGCTGGGCGTGATGGTGCATGCCTGTAGTCCCAGCTACTCTGGAGGCTGAGGCAGGAGAATTGCTTGAACCAGGGAGGTGGAGGTTGCAGTGAGTCAAGATTGCGCCACTGCACTCCAGCCTGGGCAACAGAGCCAGACTCTGTCTCAAAAAAAAAAAAAAAAATTAGAGTCAGCCCAGCATTCCAGCAGCAGCAACTCTTCGAGAACAAATGGGCCTCTACAGACCTGCGAGCCCACTGAAAACAGCACATCCTCCAATCCTCCACTGTGACTGGAAGATAGAGAGAAGCCCTCAGGTGTAAAATCTTAAGCCAGAGAAGACCTGTGGCTGCAGGGCTGACAAGTAGTAGGAGTGTGAAGAGCAAACAGTCAACATCAAACCAAGAAACTTTCTTGTAGAATAGTTCCTTTCCAATTAATTAGTAGGGCTCACTTTATATCAAGAAATGACTCCAGTTTGAAACTGCCACAGTTTCAAGTTAAGAACCCGAGGCCATATGTTTTTACTTTGTGTTGTGTTTTCTACTGGTCTTTTAACTGTTTAACTAGAGACTTCTAGCCTGCTTAGGATCTATTAGCACTTCAAAAATAATTTGTTATTTTTCAGTCATTTACACTAGTCAACACAAAAAATATTGGCTAGGAGAGCTAAAACAGATTTGTTTTCACACCAGGGAATATATCAAATTATATTACACAAATCATGTCTGTAATTATTCTACAAGATTCCTTTAAGTAGGGCATACCTTTATGTTTCTAATAATCCCTATTCTCAAGATATAAAAGTTTAATTATACCCCATTTATCTCCAGGTAGAATTTCCCATAAGCTCATTACTCAGACCACACTCATAAGAAGAATAAACAGGCAGAAAGATCAGCTAAAAGTATAACTGCTATCACAAACCCCTGTAACATATTCTGTAAGAAACAAGCCACACAGTTGTACATAAAATATGGCCACAGATTTGAAGTGAGAACCCACCACCAGCAGATATACTTGGCAGATGACCAGATAGGTAAAAGGTATAGAACTACAGAAATCAGACAGAAGGATTCTGAAAGGACATTAGTACAGGCTCAATTCAGTTAAGGACAAACAGTCCCCCATAGCCCGGTAAGACTTCCATTATCTTGCTTCACTGTAAAAGTCACTGGTGTTCATATTCACGATCTTAAAGTCACAGCTAATTAACCATGGGTGTAGAGAGCATCAACAGCAGAGCTTCCTAAATGGGCTTCTGCTAGCTAATGTACACCTCTGCCTAATGGTGCACAGTATTAGACACTGTACAGCAGTGTTTCTTAAACACTTTCTCACATGACCCACATTTAAAGATGTATCTTATAACTCAACCCAGTTATAGAAGTTGTGATGGCCAGTCTCCATGATGGCCCTGGACAATCCCCACCTCCCAACCTTTATACTCTTGTAAAGTCCCTCTCATGCAGTAACAGGATCGCTAGATGTGACTAACAGAAGAGAAGAGAATCAGAGTTGATTACTTTTGATCTGATACTCTTACTTTTGATCTGATACTGCATCTTCTGTCTTGGGGGCACTCTCTTGTTCTGTCTTAGGTCATGTGTTCTGGTAGAAACCAGCAAAGATGTCATGAGTAGCCCTAAGGAAAGGCCTATGTGGTGAGACGCTGAGGCCTCCTGCCAACAGCCACAGGCATAGGCCTGGAAGAGGATCAGCCCAGCGAGGCCTTCAGATGACTGCAGCCCTGGCTGACATCACCCCTCTAAATAACAAATGCTTATTGTTTTAAACTACTAAGTGTGGGAGTAATTTGATAACTAACGCAAGTATATAACTAAAAAGATTCAAAAAAAAAAAAAACTTTACTCTTTCTAACCCATGAATACTGATATTTTCTACTCCATTTTCTTTTTCTTTTTTTTTTTTTTTTTTTTGAGATAGAGTTTGACTCTGTTGCCCAGGCTGGAATGCAGTGGTGTGATCTTGGTTCACTGCAACCTCTGCCTCCTAGGTTCAAGTGATTCTCCTCCTGCCTCAGACTCCCAAGTAGCTGGGATTACAGGCATGCACCACCATACCCATCTGGCTTTTGTATTTTTAGCAGAGATGGAGTTTCACCATGTTGGCCAGGCTGGTCTTGAACTCCTGACCTCAGGCGATCTGCCCGCCTCGGCCACCCAAAGCACTGGGATTACAGGCGTGAGCCACCACGTTTGGTCTTATTCCATTTTCAAATGTTGCCTGAAACCCACTAAAATGATTATGACCTACAATAGGTCATAATCTGAATGGTCCAATAGGCATTAGTTGTAACAAATATCTGGAATTCCTTCTATACATACATTTATACATACATAGAGAAAGAGGGAGAAGGAGGGAGGACAGGATCTTTATTGCTAACAAACCATATCCATATCTATTACTTCAATTGATTCTTGCAATAACTGAGAGTAAAGAAAGGATTAAAATCTCTACTTTCCCGATGAGTCAAAAATGTTGCTTGAAAAAGGCTATTTAACACGCCTAAAGTTAAAGAACTAAGACCAACAGAACTGAGCCCAGCCCTCAGGCCTTCTGATTCCTGGTGCCCTTTCCACTAAGCCACCTTTGCTGTATTTCCCCAGAAGTCATCTATTATATAAATTTTGTAATATATTATAATTTATATAAAATCTTTATGGAAAATATATATTAAGCATGTATTATATATTATAGATGTATAAAATATTCTATACTATATATAAAGTTTATAATCTATTACATAGATATCCTCCTTGATTTTCACTGAGTCCCTAGGACCCCACGTTGTCTTGGTTTTCCTGGTAACTCACTGGCTGCTCCTTCTCAGGTGCCTTTGCTGATTCCAGCCTCTCACTGCTGGAGAGACAGGGCTCATTGGTCCTTGGTCCTCTTCTCTCCTCTGTGTACTCATGCCCTTGGCAGTCGTACTATCCAGTCTCTGGGTTTTAAGTGCTACCTATGCTAAAGACTCCCAAATTGGGAGTCCCAGCTCAGGGCTCTTTCCTGCAGTCCAGAGCCATACATCTCCTTACTTTTTAAATAACTCTACTCGGATGTCAAAAAGCAATTTCACGCCGGGCACAGTGGCTCATGCCTGGAATCCCAGCACTTTGGGAGCAGAGGCAGGCGGATAGCCTGAGGTCAGGAGTTTGAGACCAGCCTGGCCAACATGGTGAAACCCTGTCTCTACCAAAAACAAAAAATTAGCCAGGCATGGTGGTGCACACACCTGTAATCCCAGCTACTCAGAAGGCTGAGGCAGGAGAATCACTTGAACCTGGGAGGCAGAGGTTGCAGTGAGCCAAGACTGCACCATTGCACTCCAGCCTGGGAAAAAAGAGCAAACTCTGTCTCAAAAAAAAAAAAAAAAAAAAAAAAAAAGCTATTTCAAACTGAACTCCTGATCTCCCCACTTGCATCTCCTCCTCCGGTAGCCTTCCCTATCTCAGTTGATGGCAACTCCATCCTACCAGCGGCTGAGGCTAAAAACCCTGCAGTCATATTTGACTCTGTAACGCTGACATCCAATCCCATCAGCAGAGCCTGTTAGCTCTACTTTGAGATATATCCAGAATCTGATGACTTCTCACCACTTCCACTTCAATAGCCTCCTAAAAGGTTCCCCTTGCTCCCAAAAAGCCATTCTCAACAGAGCAGCCAGAATGATCCTTTAAAGACCCAAGACACATCACTCCTCTACTTAATGCTACAATTGTTCCCCACTTCACTCAGAGGAACAGCCCAAGTCTTTACTATGGACTACAAAGCACTGCACATGTAGGATAGAGACAAGGTGATATTGCAGAAGCAGATTGAGATTTAGCCTTTAAGCCAAGAGTGAGCTCAATGAATCAACAGTATTCTAACCCACCTCCCTCCAACCAAATTCTAATATTTATCTGCTTCAATAGAAGAACAAAAGAATTGAGCATGTCTTGTGTTCATCAGACCACACCTGGAAGGTCACCCTCAATTTCAAGTGCCTACTTTAAAGACAGATTGACAAAGAAAGACATGTCTGATGATAACAACCAGGCTGAGGTGGGGATGTGAAAGAATACCATTTGAGGTGGTGATGCAAGGAACCGGTAAGTTTAATATGGGTAAGTAATGAACCAGAAAACAGGGTTTTCAGGTGGATTTCAGCTCAATTATGACTGTAACCAAATGGGCCGCCTTGAGACGTTTCCCGTCACTAGATCATTTTGGCAACCTCCGCACCCAGTCTCAACATTTTAAGTGCTACCTATATGCTCAAGACTCCCAAATTTGTATTTCTAGCTTTGACCTCTCTCTCATACTCCAGACCTGGGATGATTAATTTTATGTGTCAACTAGTCTAGTCTATGGTACCAGTTGTTTGGTCAAACACCAGTATAAATGTTGCAGGTAAGGTATTTTCAAAATATGATGAACATTTAAATCAGTAGACCTGGAATAAAGCAGATTACCCTCCATAATGTGGGTGGGCCTTATTCAGTCAGTTGAAGGCCTTAAGAGAAAAGACCGAGGACCCCAAAGAGGAAGTAATTCTGTCTGCAGACTACCTTTGATTCAAAAGTAGAACATCAACTCTTCCCTGGCTCTTCAGTCTGCCAGCCTGCCCTGCAGAGTTTGAATTTGCCAATTATTTAAAATGAATAAATATATATAAATATGTATGTATATATACATGCACATACATACATGTGAGTGCAACCTATTGATTCTGTTTCTCTGGAAAATCTTGACTACCATAAGACCCATAGATCTCCCTGCTTTTTTACTGTCTCTGCTTGGATGACTAAAAGTTGCAAACTTAGCACTGTGTAGGGTGTTATAAAGGAAAACAAATATTCAGATGGTTGGCTGAACTAGAATCAAAGTACTTGATCCTTTCAACTGCTGATATTTTGTAAACTTTGAAGGCATTAGTAGAAAAATGAGGGTACACAGGCTGAAAAGGGAAAAGGGAACTATTTAAGAATTGGAGCCCAGTAGCCCTCTAAGAAATGAGATCCCGAAAGGCTGATAAGACATTTGGCATCTGAACCCATCCACTGACAGGAAGAAGACAAAAACTAATGCACAGAGTAGAATTCAGAGATCATTTAGTCTAGCTTTCTTTTGGTGCAGAGTTTTGCTATAACCTAGCCAGTTGCTACTAAAATGAAATCCCTTTATTAAAATTATATTCCTTATTTTGAGCTGAGACTGGCCTGTATCTTTCATCCCAGTCTTGGTCATGGTTCTGCCATGTTAAACAATACAGAATAAGTAAGTGTACACTCTAGCCATTTATATATCCAAAGACAGCTCTTTAAACCCTCTCCTACCCATGACTTCTTTCACAGAGCATGGGTATTTCTCAAATATTTGACCTATTTCTTAATCAAATAGGTTTCCAAACCCCTAACCATTACAACCACGTTAGACACATTCTACTTTGGTAGTATCTCTCAAAGTGCCTTCACTCATCCATGCCTCCCCCCATCTAACCATCCACTCATGCATGCAGCATTTATGAGCACACAATATACAGGCAGGAGATATATAGAAATGATCAAGATACAATCCCTCTTTCATGGGGCTTGGGGAGTGAGGGAATGTTTACTGGGAGAAGAACTACAAGTAAACAGACCATTATTGTGCTGTATCATAAATGGTAGGAGAGAAAGATGAACTGGAGCTACAGGAGCCTCTAAAATAGAGTGATATCTGGTAGGCTGTTCAGAGTAAAAGAGTCTTGACCTAAGCTGAACTTTGAAGGTTAAGAAAGAGTTAGTGGGAGGATGTAGAAGATGGATGTAGAGGATGCAGGTGGGTACGTGTGTGTGATTACTTTCTAGGCAGAGAAAGTAGCTTATAGGAACTAAAGACAGGGCCAGGTGCAGTGGCTCACACCCATAATCCCAGCACTTTGGGAGGCCGAGGCAGGCAGATTGCCTGAGGTCAGGAGTTCAAGACCAGTCTGGCCAACATGGTAAAATCCTGTCTCTACTAAAAATACAAAAATTAGCCAAGCATGGTGGTGTGCATCTATAGTCCCAGCTACTTGGGAGGCTGAGGCAGGAGAACTGCTTGAACCCAGGAGGTGGAGGTTGCAGTGAGCTGAGATCGGGCCACTGCACTCCACCCTGGACGACAGAGTGAGACTCCATCTCAAACAAACAAACAAAAAAGCTAAATACAGACAAAGAAATATGGTCCATTAGGTGAATGCCGGTAGGGAAGAGCTCTGCAAGTAGCTGGGTGTGACTGAAGAATAGGGGCAGAAGCAAACTGGGAGCAGAATATAAGTAATCACAATAAGTGAATCTTTATTAGGTGTTTAGTATGTGTTAGAACTCATTTAATGCTCTCAACAACACTGTCAAGGTTGTACTATTATCCCACTTTTACAGATGAAGAAGCTGAAAACCAAAGAAATAATAACTTGCCCAAGGGTTCTCCGCTGGTAAGTAGATGAACAAGGTCCTAACCCAGGAAGCACAGTTTCACGGCTCAAAGTCGTAACTACTGCCTTCCCACCAGCTCTCTGAACTTGCTCCTCATAGGAGTTTGCAGTTTATCCTAAGGCACTAGGGAGCCACGGGTGTTAGGCAGAGCAATGACTGGATAGAGACTTATTTATCTTCTAGAAAAATTTCACTCAGCATTTGTGACAGCACAGAGGGAGAGGGCTCAAGAGTGAGGTGGGAGGCCAGTTCCGAGAGATGGTGATGGGCCTGCAAAGCTCAGCTTGAGAGGCTTGAATCAGGCTTGAACCACACCGACTAGGGTCTCAGAGGACTTAGCAGCACATAAATCACTGCCCCTCCACCATTTCTTCCCACTTTCAATCCAGCAGACACACAGACACACACACACACACACACACTATGTGTGTGTGTGTGTCTCACAAAAATGGTGTCTTCAGACAGTTTATGTGAGATGGCTGCATAATGGAGACTCTTAAACACATATTGGCTGTTTCAACTTTTTCCATATGGATTTTTTTTCCTATGCTCCTTACAATGTGTTATTTTTGTCTTCTGGTGTAAAAGAATGTTTTTGCAATTTCATAGTTGAAACATTTTTCTACTTGAAAAGTAAAAATCTCTACTTTGGAATGGTTTTCTTAGCAGAAAACTTTCACTTGAGTGAAAGTCTCTTTTCCTATTAGTGAGTTTACATTTGACAAAAAGTAAGACATGACACCCAGGTTAAATGCCACAGGCTTCAATTTCAAGTTCTGGTGTGATGCCACCATCAGGTCAGCAGGTATGTCTTTCGTTCCCTTTGTGAAAACATTAGTTTTGATTAATAATCTCAATAATCTCATTTGCCTGAGGACACATGGGGATTTCAAACCTGGGAAGTTTGCTAAGGTGTTTGATTTGGCCAGAATATCAGTATCACCTCTTGGGTGAACAAGAAAATGTTTAGGTTTGATTTTTGAGCTTCAGCTTTCCTGTCCCTCTCCCCTAGAGAATTCTCCCAGGAACCAAGTCTAAGTAAGGTCATTTCAACTTCAAATGGGGAGAACCAAGGAAATCAGTAGAGACATCACTCCATTCATATCCATGTGTGGTCATTATTTCTGGTAGAGAAGATATGCTGGTGGCAGAAATGTATGAGATGCTCAGAGATATCTTTCCTCTCTTTAGAATGTGTTAAAGGCCAGAGTTATTCCCTGATTTAACAAGCCTCTTTCTCTCCCCTCTTCTACACCATTACTTGGTCCCACTCCATGACTTGAAGGCCTTGGCAGCCTATGAGCCTGGAGTCCAGACCACTTCATCAGACATCAGGGAGCAAAGCTCAGATGCCAAACTTGGGCTAATCCAGAGGACATGATACTGGTTAACAGATCTAAAAACAATTGAGGAATTTTACAGTTACTTTTTTTTCTTTTTTAACTCAAATGGGCTCACTAAATTCTTTGCTTCCTTCTATATCTCAGCAGTTAATAGCTGCTCTATGTTAAGATGTAAAAGTCGTTGAGGACTATGCCTCCTACAGACAAGCCCACTCAACTGATCTGAAATAATCATAAATGTTGTTATGGCCTTCACAAAGGACTGGGACTGTGGGCTGTGGGGGATGCATACCTGGAAGTGATATAGGGTGAGCATCTGCAGATTCTCCTGAGCTCCTCTTTCACTAAAGGCATGTATCCAAAGGTATGTGCTCTGCTTAAGAAGGTCATGGGCAGTTTTCCCAGATTCACAGATGGTCAGCATGTAGGAAGCCTAACCTACAACCTCAGCTTTTCAAGCTCCAAATAAGAAATGCAAACATAGAAGTTGATGGTTACCAGGACAACACCAAATGCCAGTTGCTATAGAATAGGAAGAGAACATGACCAAAAGAGGCCCTGGTCAAGGGGAACTGACAAGCTACTTGGAGGAGGCTGCAAAAATAATAACAACGTGGGGACAATTATGAGCACAAGTCAAGGTGCCCAAAGTAAGATCCTTGGATTAGCCTGCTTCTCTCTCATGAAGGCTTTAATTGGTGTTTATTCAGCATTTATGTATTAAATTATGTAAGGCAATTATGGCATTAAGCTGACAGCCTCAGAATGACTTTTCTGTCACTCCTCCTGAAGAATCCCAGCTTAGCCCTGTCTCCAGTTACTTTCTTCAACTCTCTTCCCTCCAGTTTAATCTCCCCACTCCCTGATCCCCGCCCGCTACTAGCTGTTTAGGGACAGCAGAGAACTATTTACTAACAACACAATATTTTACAAATCAGCACATTTTAAAGAAATAACTTGCACTGCATTTAAATAAAGTTGTACCCTAAATGAATGATATCAAAATAATGACTTTGTGTCAATGAGCTGGAATCTTGAATGAACACATACAGGTAGAAAGAACGTTACTTAAGACTTTTCAATTAACAGAATTTGTCATGAACCATTCAGCAAAGCATTGCTTCTGTTATCCACTTTTTAGTATGGAAAGTTCCTTTCTCACTTAAGCCAAACCGGAGAATGAGTTCCCTCCAGGTCCCCATTTTGGCTTCTTTGCTATGTCTGTGAATGTTTTACCTTATTTTTCTTTTTGTGAAACAAGGTCTCACTCTGTTGTCCAGGCTGGAGTGCAGTGCCACAGTTGGCTCACTGCGATCTCTGCCTCAGGGGCTCAAATGATCCTCCCACCTCAGCCTCCTGAGTAGCTAGGACTACAGGTGTGTACCACCAAGCTCTACTCATTTTTAAATTTTCTGTAGAGACAAGGTCTCACTGTATTGCCCAGGCTGGTCTCAAACTTCCGGGCTCAAGCGATCCTCCCACCTCAGCCTCCCAAAGTGCTAGGATTATAGGCATTAGCCACCATGCCTGGCCATGTTTTACCTCTTATTTCATTCATTCATTCATCGAATGAATAATCATTGAACAGCTACTGGGTGCTAGGCATTGTTTGGGCTGTTGGTGTACATCAGTGAATAAAACGGGAAAACATCTTCATTCTCATGGAACTTCTGTTCCAACAGGGAAAGGCAGACAATCAACAATTCACCCCCATTATGTGTATAATAAATAACTAGAGCATATCATGTGTTAGGGAATGGCCAAGTGCTACAGCAAAAAGTAAAAAGAAAAAGTGGAGAGTGAGGGGGTGAGTGGGGATGTCAGTTGAAGTTTTAAACAGAATGGTCCAGGTAAGCCTCACTTTGAAGGTGATATGTGAGTCAAGACTTGAAGGAGATGAGGGAATCTGTGATGCAGATATGCAGGGGAAAGAAGAGCCAGGTGACCTTTATAGATTTTCCTTCTGTGTTATAAATTGCTGTGCTGTGCATCAAATTCTCCAGTGTAGAGGGGAAAAAAATTGCTTCCTTCCACCCTTCAGGATCTTTGGTCTACAAATTGACATAAGACAGATTAACAGAGGAAAAATAATTTTAATTACATACAGATGCATGGGAATCCCACGAGGAAGCAGCCAGATGATTGAAACTAATGTATCATCTGAGCTACAGAGAAGAATAGGGGTTTGGGGCTTCTGAGGGATGGTGAAGGCAAATTATGGGTAGGTGAGAAGAGGAAATGGATGGTGAATAAAGGTTGCCTTGGTATGCAGATTAAAGTCCCTTAGGTGATAAAAGCTGTCTCTTGGTAGCTTTCTTCCTGCTACAGATGCCTTTACTAATGAACATTAATGAGCACTTCCTTCATAAATGTAAATTTCCTTTATAAAAGGGAAAATTTATACTTTATTTTAGGCAGCTGAGGGAAAGGTAAAAGAACATTTCCTATGTTGGCTGGTTCTCAGTTTCTTTTAGCTCAAAATAATATGCCAAAGTGGCATATTTTGGAGCAACATCTTCTGAACCCCTTCACCAGCATCTCTGGATCATTCTTCCAAGCCATTCATTATCCATACCTCTCAGTGTCATACGAGAAACACATATTAAAACATGCACATGCTTCCTGGCTGTCAAAACAAATTTGGAAGAGAATGGGACTCTGTAGCAACCACTGTGAACTTCCCTTCAGAATACTAATAACCCTAGTCTTTCAACTGGATACCTCTGAAGACCATTCTCTGTGAAGTCCACGGAGAAGCTCAAGTAGGTATTGTGGGGCTCTGCAGGAGACCATGTTTATGCTCTTCCATAGCTAAAAAAAAACCTCTTACTTTTCATTATTTTTGAGTATTGACTTATTCTGAGAATGGCCTCCCTTAAACCACATCCTCATGGTTCTGCAACTCCTTTGTCCTCACCTTTGCTCCTGAGCTCCTCACTCTGTCCACATATCTACTGCTCTGCTGTCTGAGCTAATCCTAAGCTCTTTGCACAGCCACACAGATGCATGGCCTGGCAACACTCATTCCTGCCCGTCCTCTCCTACTGCCTATGCCTCTGCATCAAGATCTGGACATCTTAGGAGTGAAATCTGAAAAACCACATCACAGGTATGAAGAACAGACAATGAAAACAATTTAAAATAATTATATGGCTCTAAGTTGAGAGTGACTGGGGACTTCATTATCCCTCCTTTTCACATTCTTCAGAGAGCAGAAGCAGCTTTCAAAGCCACAGTATAATCAGCAAATCAAGCTTTCCTTTAGGCTGGCAGCCTGTGCAGGATTTAATGATGGAGGGGAGAGGACACTTACCTGCCCATTGCTCAAGCCAATAGGAAGATAATCAAGAGGCTTGATTTTAGATGACAGTGATTCCTGAGATGAATGCTCTTGATTCTTGAGTTTTTAGAAGCCCCTGACTTTGTAAGTATACAAACTATAGAAAAGGTACTATTGGACATGAACTGTCAATACTGGGGGCAAGTCCCTTATTAATAAACCACCTTAGAAGTTAGCCTGACGTATAGGAAACACTGTGCTTCCCCCACACTGAAGGTCTGGGTGTGGACTCTGTCCACTCAAAAGAACACATGCTTGATCAGTTCTACCTGTGGCTAGCAGGTAAGTACACAGAGCTGCAGATGGTCAGAATACTTGAAAAGGGGACCCAGCATCTAGACAAAAGCTCTAATTATTAATAATGTGAATAGCACTTTCAGCAGCTCAAGAACAATCCTTCAGAATGAATGAAGAAGAAATGAGAAGCTGATTGGAGTGGCTTCATTATGGGTAAGCATTCGCTTAATGTAGTCTTAGGAGGAATTCAAAAATATGCCCTTTACTAGGCTGTTACACAAATTCATTTCCTTTTTGTGAGAATACTTTGTTTTTATGTCCTTATGTTATAGCTAGCAAATATATTAATTAACATCCTGATTACACTTCTATCAAAAGGGATCATTTAGGGGAGTAGTAAGAAGTTATTAAAGAAGAAAACCCATGAAAAGTGCCCATTTTGCTACACACAATAGCAGAATTTTAGGATGATGAGTAAGGGCAAATATGTGAGAATACTAATTCAAGCACGTATAATTCCTGCCTCAATTTTCAGAATTAGAGAGTTTTGAAGTTGAAGACGATCTTACAGATCCTAATCTTATTCCTTCTCTTAGCTTAAAGGAAATTGAGGCCCAATATTACAACCTATCAGACGCCCTTTGGAAACACAAGACAACACAGGGCATACAGTCTGAGACTGACATGGTTTAGCTGTGTCTCCACCCAAATCTCAGTACTCCCATAATTTCCATGTATTGTGGGAGGGACCCGGTGGGAGAAAATTGAATCATGAGGGCAGTTTCCCCCATACTGTTCTTATGGTGGTGACTGAGTCTCACGAGATCTGACAGTTTGATAAGGGGAGGCTGTTTTGCTTGGTTCTCATTCTCTCTTTGTCTGCTGCCATCCATTTAAGATGTGACTTGCTCCTCCTTACCTTCCACCATGATTGTGAGGCCTCCCCAGCCACGTGGAACTGTACATCTTAAACCTCTTTTTCTTTATAATTTACCCAGTCTCAGGTAGGTCTTTATCAGTGGTGTGAAAATTGACTGATATAGAGACCTCATGATCCAAGCAGCCCCCGGACCTGAGGAGTCGCTGGTGGGAGAGGTCCGTGTGTCAGTTCTGCTGGAAGCACCCAAGGAAGAGATGAAATGGGTCCTGTTCTTAAGCAAATATGAAGAACAAGAAAGAAGGCTATAGCTTTGACCAGGGCTGACTAGTGAAGAAGTCTATTGCGGCTGACCCTGAGTCTACAGAGAGGAGGACTTGCCTCAGAGTGATCAGACTGTAGCACTGTGTGCTGCATACCCTAGGAGGAGGAGCTGGCATGTTAAAAAGTCAGGTATATAGATGTGTTCTTATTCTCACTCCCATCTAGGTCTTGAGCCCACTCCTGCATGGGGGAAGGGGAGGCCTGAGCTCTGTTCTTTCTCTTTCCTCATTCATATTCTCATGTACTGTCTTCTCTCTCTTGTTCTTCTGGTAGCCGCTCAACACGAGGCAAGACACTGAGGTTCAAGTTTGGGCTCAGTGAGGAGCAAAGAGACCCCATGAACCTCTAGCCCATACCTCATCTTACTCTGCACATAGCCAGCAATGACCCCAAATTTATGTATGGATACTTTAGGGACCACAGAGGGAAAAAAGGTGATTGGCAGGGCAGAGTTTATTAATATAAGGTATCCTTCTCAAATCCCATTTGGGCATGTCCAAGGACAGAGAAGCAGGTTGATGGGGCTCCCATTGGCTAAGACTGAGACAATGTGAGCACCAAAAAATAAATACATAACTAAGTAATGAATTGTAAACTGCTGAAACACAGGAAGTGGTGCATCCATATAGAAAATAAATATAGAAACAAATTGGGGGAAGGAGCTCATGTTTTCAAAAGAATGCCTAGTGCCACTGGTAAGTGCCAAAGTCAGAAAATCATTCTGCAACCATCAGGGTAAAACTGGCTCAGGCAAAAATAATCCATAACACTAAGTCTAGGGGGACATTTTGACAAAGAGCAGAGTATTTGCATGGTCTTCAAGTGTCTTCCATATATTGCTTATTAGCTGCAAGGCCAAAAAAAAAAAAAAGTAGCTATGGTAACAGCGGATAAATCAGACAAAATTCATTCTTCAGGATGATGAAAATTAACATCTCTAATGGGCAGAGTTGGACATGGTGTCCCTCCAGATGACATACCCTGACAAGGATATAACACTTCTTATGTAGTATTCCTGCCCAGAATGCATAATATCAATCTCATCATTAGGATACTTCAAAATTATGAGTGTTCTATTAAATAAGGGAGAACTATACTCTGTAATGTCATAAAAGACAAAAAAAGGCTACGGACATTTTCCAGATTAAAGAAGATCCTAGAACTCCACCTACATGTCAGTCAGGCATTTTTCCATTCTATTCTCTGTGAGAAATCAGGCTTGGGGTTAATAATAGGGTTTAGCATTCCTTACATGAATAATCTGCAGGTGGAAAATCAGTTTTTAAGATTTCACAGGCCTCTTACATAACCTAGCCCATGTTGAGGCTTGCAAAAATAAAACCAGCATTGTCCTTGAAGTTGAGCCGGTCAATCAGTCACAATCCCATTTTGCCTCTGGGCTCTGCTTCTTAACTAGTATTTTTTTCCCTGAATTGTGAATTCACAGCATTTTGACCACAGCTTTTGCTCTGTGGCAAAAATCGATTTATCCTTATAGAAAGATTTATAGTACAGAAATGTATTTATACTTATATTATTCTACCTTGGTTGATGGGTCTTTAATCTCCTTTCCAACTGAACTTTCAAAAATGTAACCCATGAGGAGATAAACAGTCCATATAATAAAAATAACTTCCTTAGCTGAGCTGGACACAACTGACTTTAATCTGAGGCCCTAGTTCATTCACAAATTAAAACTACATCAAATAAATTATATCACTTCTTCCACTTTGCATTTTAGGCTTTATTTAGATGATAGCTATTAGACATAAATGGAAACTAATCTATTTTCACATCACCCTCCCTTACCCCACAAATACACAGAACCTAAAGCTGGAAGAAACTGCTGGAACTAGATCAGACCTCTCCCCTGCCTTCCAATGACAAGATACCAAGGGCCCCACTTCAAAGATGAGGCAATCATAGCCAGCGGCTGACTTAAGGGTTTTCATGCAGTTAATGACAGAGGCAAGGTTAGGACGCTTGCTGGGCTCAGAGAAGTGTTCTCTCTACTCTTCTAAACAAATGCAGAACACATCATGAAATTACGCACTTTATGGTCTAGCTCTCTAGCTTGTCTTGCAAATCACTACTATGATTTGATGTATTTAATTTCCCACTATTTGAATAGTCCCAACACTCTCCCCATGGCAACAGAAATAAAAGTTTGTGAATTTTGTGCCAAAAGAATAGTAGAAAGAGTCACAGTGACAAAGGGCCATTGAAACAGAAGATAGTGCTATTATTATGCATTAGTTACATTTACTGGTGGTAAATCTACAAGAAGTGCATTCATGTCAGACAGTGTGGATAAAAAATAACTCTCCCCAAAGCCCCAATATCCCCAAGCACAAAAGAGGCTATGTTTATACAGCATAGTATCTTTGGAAAATAATCTCTGGCTTTGAATCCAAGACAGAAGCTGAGATTTGCTTGAGTGCATGAGGAAATGAGAAGAGAGTGATGAAAAGCTACTGTCATGAACACATTACACCTTTTAAGCAGCAAGAAATTCATTTAATAAATTGATTGAAGCCTGGAATCTAATTAAATCTTAAAGAGGTATCAACCTGAAATGCTAATAAGCTCACACTCAAACTGTATACACGGAAGCTCTGCTGTGCATGCCTTTAATAATGCATTACCTAAAGTATATTCTGTATTCATTATAGCAGTACAGCAACGTGACGTGAATTATTTCCACTCTCTACTTCGATACAAATATCTTCATGCAGGCAATCTATTTAACCACATTCCCCTTCCCAGTAAAGGTGAATGAGATGTGGCTTTCAAGGGCTGGGATCACGGTTGTAAAAAAGAAAGCTGAAACTTAGCAAGGAAGCATACGTACCTTTTATCCAGACAAACAATGAAGGGAGTATTCTTCTATCTAATTACTGGCACCCTGTGTTTAAAATAATTTGAACGTGTAAGGCTAATAATGCAAAGTACAAAATTGCGTTAGAGAAACTAAAGCTTCAATTAGTTCAGTTTCAAGTGGCAGCACATTTTCAGATAGGCACCAGCAGCAGCAGGTACTGTAATCCCACAGTTTAACTCTCCTTGAGATGTTCCAGAAAGGTGGCTGAGTTCTAAAAACTGTGCTCTATGTGTGATCTGGGAATGATTTGGGGACCAGGAGGTACAGAAGAGTTCTTTTTAGTGGTGAGCAGATGATGACATCTAGGCTTGGCTATAGATTACTGCCGGCACTCTCTTAACTGGTTTACTGCTTCTGCCTCAACACAGTACAGTGCTGTAAAACTTCTTAGCTCAAAACCCTTCCACATCTCCCCATCTAACTCAGATACAAACCAAAGAATGAACTATCGCTTACAAAGTCCACTCCCCCACCCTCGTCTCCTGCCACTCTCCTGCTCACTCCATATTCCATGACAGCCACACTGGCCTTCTTGCTATTCCTTGAGCACTTTGGGCACACTTCTGGCACTGGCTGCACCTTCTTCCTGGGACACTTCTCCAAATACCCACATGACTCCCATAATCTCCTCCAAGTCTTCATCAGATATCACCTTCTCAATGAAGCCTATGCTGATCATTCATTGACACTCAATCCTCATTATTCACAAATTGTGTATTTGCAAATTCACCTCACTAAAATTTATTTGTAACCTTAAAATCAATACTTGAGGCACTTTTGTGGCCATTCACAGACAAGTTCTGTGCAGCAAAATATGTACATCACCCAATGAAGTCTGAAGTGCTGCTGAGGACCTCAGCTGGGTGAGATCCGACAAGGCCCATGCCACCTCCATGCTTTAGCTCTCATACTAGGAGTATCCTTTCTACCACCTATTTAGTGCCTTGTTTTTCACATTTTTGTGTTTTTGGCGATTTCATTGTTAAAAGTGACCCCCAAGCACAGTAATGAAGTGCTGTCTAGCGTTGCTAAGTACTGGAAGGCTGTGATGAGCCTTATGGAGAAAACACAAGTGTTAGAAAAGCTTTATTCAAGCACAAGTTATGGTGCTGTTGGCCATGAGTTCAATGTGAATGAATTGACTACATATGGTAAAGAAGGCATCTTTAAGCAGAAACATTCAAAAAAACAAAGTTATGTATTATCAGTTGATGAGAAGTTTGTAACCAGAGGCTAGCAGGAACCTAACCCTGTATTTCCCCTAGAAGCAATGGCCCAGTGGTCATTAATTCAGTGTTTGTAAAGTGATATTAACTGTATACTGCAACCCTTCCCCCAGAACTCCAAGTCCCCCTCCTCATCCTGCTCTATTTTTGCCATAGCATTTATCACACATCCTAACACACCATATCATTCGCTTATTTATTAGGTTTGTTAATTATCTGTCTTACCAGCTGGAGAGTAAGCTATGTGAGCGTATGTGCTTTTGCCTGTTTTGTTCACTACTATATCCCCAGCACAAAGCACAGTTGCTGACACATAACAGGCACTCAACAAATATTTGTTCGATCAGTGAATGGATAGATGGATGGAGTCACAGCCTCCCCTGAAGCAGAGATCTGACAAGTGCCTTCCTAGAGGAAAAGTCCCACATGAGTGTATCCAGGAAAATAAAGGAATAAGGTGGGAATGCTCTCCTGGAGGGGAGCTATCAGGGAGAGGTCAGCTGAGCCTAAAGGGAAGCAGAGGCTGGATGGGGAACAAAGTTTACCTGCAGGCTCTGAAGCTGAACCCAGGTAGACAGCTGCCAGGTTTCTAGAGGCAGACTGTAGATGGAAAGTGCAAGACAGCAAGGGGTGCAGGATGTAACGGGCTCCAAACAGAAATGGGGGGTGCCAAGCACCATCATATTTGCATTAATCCTTAGTAACTAAAATCCCTGGTGTTGTGCCTCCTGGAATAAGCTCCATAGAGTTGCCCATGTAAGCAGCAGCTTCATTACATATCAATAGCTGCAGCTCCATGTCTTCCCTGGCAACTATTTATGGCTAGTGTTCCATTACTGGAACACGAAGCATGTGGGAGTTACTTATATCCTACTGCTCAATGTCATCGCCGAGGTCTGATTGCAAATATTCAAAAAATTGCAACCTCAGGCATAAATGGGTTAATTGCTGGCTCAACTTTGACTCCTCAGCTTGCAGTCTGTCCGTGGGATTTCAATACGGAGGTGAGGTCTCTCTCAATCCTGATTCACCTCCAGCACACTTTGGACGTTGGTGTCAGTATCCCTGGAGGGTGACTACACCTTGTTCTACCCCATATGAACTTCCAATAGCTATGTAATTCATATTGTGTCAGTTTAGTCAAAAGACACACATACACACACACACCTTTAATGCCTGAATGTCCAGTAACAAACAGAACATGAACCTTAATTTATACAGAAAGATTAAATTCTCACCTTCACCCCAGCAGGTAGGCATCATTAGCCCATTAACAGGTAGAGAAACTAAGGCTTAGATAAGTTAAGTACCTTGACCGAGGTGACAGAACTAGTAAGGACAGGATGTGACTCCGAGTCTGCTGGACTCCAAAGCTCATGCTCTATTCTCTAGACTACATCATTACATAACTCCCTTAAATGCTTTTTAAATGAATTAAAATATTGCTCTGCTTTTCCAACAACTTTATGTCAAAGTGACGTACAATTATTCAAACAAAACAATTTATTTCACTTATTTTCAGGGAATTAGTGTAATTTCATTTAGTTTTCAAGGTATCCACTGACCACAATATTTACATTTTAAAGACATGACAGTTTAAAGCTAATCACTGGTAAACTGTTACAGAAACCAACATCAAGTAAACTAGGACATGCTATTGGGAGATGACATGGTGTTGTCTCAGGTCTGCCACTCTCCTCTCTGGGCAAATCATTTAACCTAAGCTTTTATTTTTCTCATCAATAAAATGGAGATGACAAAAACAAGGCCTTCTCCGACTAATCTACTGAACCAACAAATGAGACAATAGATGTGGAAATGTTTTTAAACATTCAGGGGCTATGGAGACTCAGTGATGGTCATGCCTGTCTTGTGACACATTACTTGTCAGTATTAACTCCCTGAGGGCAGGGACTCCTCTATTCAGCTCTGTATCATATACATTTGTCAATGGTTGGCCCATAGTAGGTGCTCAATAAATACTCCTTGACCAAAGAGAATTTGGACTTTCAGGTACAATTCATTCTGAGAGGCTCTACAACAAGTCTAAATAGTCTGTAAGCGAAGTATTGATGAGAATAATCTAGACCATCCAAGAATCAAATATGAAGTTACAGAATAATCTGGGGAAAGGTCAAACGATAGGGGACACTCTGTTCAGTGTGATGCTGATAAAACTTGCCCGGGAACAGCTGACAAACTGTTTGCTACTCCTGCTGCTGGCACCTCCACCAGCCACTCAGTGGTCAGAGTACAACAGCCAAGAGATCACACTTTAAGCCCACACGGGTCAGATGGCATGACACAGATGCCACCACTCTGCAAACCCTCTCCCAGATGCTTGTCTCTCATTATGGAGGGAAGGGGTCCAGAAAAATGCTTCCCAGCACCAGAAAAACATTTCATGACACATTCCTCGGGGCCAACAGTTCCAGAGTATCCATCTAAGACTGGATAAATGGCACTTTTGAGGTGCATATATGACAAACTCACACAAGAACAGCCTGCATAGATTTCTTGAGGGCAGGTCCTGTCCCTACTTGTCATAAGGAAAATTCCTTTCTGCCTACATTATGCTGGAAAAGGGCCGAAGAGTCCCTTGTGGTCAAGGCTCCACTAGGAAGATGCTTTCACAGAGTGGGAGAGAATCACTCTCCACCTCACCTAACATCCTTCCCTCTCCTCTGAAGCACAGGCAAGAGACCTAGAACCCTTAGGCTGCTAAAGATTTTCTTAGATTCCAGAGATTCGGCCCCTCACCTTCCTATTTCACCATCCCAATAGCCAAGGACCACAGCCAAATTCCACTTATAACTCTAATTGAAGTCTTTACTCAAACCAGGAAAGGGGCTGGTCCAGTTTCTTGGTTCTACTGATAGGACTCTCACAACCAACAGCCTTGAGGAAGGAAGGCACCTAGGCCACATTTTAGTTGATCATGATTGAGCCAAAGGCAAATATTGGCAAATGATCTCGCTAAAAACTTTCGGAAAATTAAATCTGCTATCTAATAGAAAATGAAACACACAAAAAACATAACATATAAAACCAGTCCCTTGAATTTCCCTCTGGATCAATCCTATTAGAGTGAGTGACCACACAACTCAGGAGGAAATACATCTGTCTCAAATATACCACATCCCACTCTGTAGTAGGAACTCACTTGAGAAATCCTGGGGAACCTAAGATCTTAGCTCTCAGTTTTTTCATTAAAACCAGACTGCAAGAAGGGGACCTAATCCCAACTGCAACATAAATACAAGGAATCTTGGAAATATATTGCTATGACAATTACTGCTACCAATTAAGTCAGCCACCAACTAGACAAGTATTATTTGCAGATTTACATTATGATGACAATGTGTCATAAGATCTGAGCTACTGCCCCCATTACCAAGCCTCTGCAAGTCCATTTCCCTTAGTCTCCTAATGACAACCCTGTTCCCCACTCCCAGCTGAAGAACCTCGATTAAAATAATGCAGCAAGCAACCTTGCCTGACTGCCTCGCAATCACTCACTAATCACAACCCAGGCGCCACCTGTAGGATACCCACGATGTATATTTTAATTAACTTCTTAGCAAATCCTCTGTAGCCTGCAGCTAGCAAGTTTCCCAGAAATGGAATGCCTACTTGAACTTGTCATCTCTATTTCAACAGTAAGGCCATGCCCCTGATGATGCTTTCCAGAAGTCTGGTAGGTCAGCTCTCCTATGTAAATAGTCTCACAGGAAACTAGATCCCTCCCTGCAGTGGACATCAGGTGGGCAATCCTCCAAAATCCACAGAAGGATGCCTACAGGACTCGGCCAGAAACCAGGAACTGGGCATTTCTTCCTGAATGGCAGAGTCCCTCCCCTGTGGGCTTCTTACACACAAAAAGCAACTCTAGGGAAACAGTGGGAAGAAGGCAGAGAAGGGGAGAAGTCATATACAGGAAAACTAATTGGAGGCCAAATGCATCCTGTGACAACAAATGGGGCAACTCATTTTTCCCAAGTTTTTGTGGCTGTAGATCAGTTGCCTTTATATGGTTTGAGCACCTGTAAGTCGAGCTTCCCTGATTCCTTACCTCCTCCAAAGAGCTGCCCTCCAGCACCCTCCCTGCCTTAGAGCTGGTCAACAAGTTTGTTGTCACCTGTCTCTTCAGTCCTTTTGTGGTCCCATCCCCTGGTAAAGTCAGTAAAAACTCCCATTTAAGTTCTTCAGGGTCCTGGTCCCTGTGATCCATGTGAATGTAAGA
Source organism: Homo sapiens (assembly GCF_000001405.40). Taxonomy (NCBI): domain Eukaryota; kingdom Metazoa; phylum Chordata; class Mammalia; order Primates; family Hominidae; genus Homo; species Homo sapiens. The sequence goes on along the minus strand of NC_000001.11, from coordinate 210,477,015 downwards.
TATTGAATATTCAAACATATTTACAGTTACTCATGGCCATCATCCAGGCAGTCTATGGAGCCGTGGCATGTCAAGGAGGAGAAGTCCTGAGAAGTCATCTGGCCCAGTGACTCTCAAATGTTAATATGCATACACTGTTCATAGGAGATCTTGCTGAAAAGCAGATTCTGATTCCATGGGTTTTAGTTGGCAGCCAAGATCCTGAATTTCTAACAAGCTCCCAGGAGAAACTGATGTGGCTGTTCCTCAGATCTTACTTATGACACCAAGAATCTAATGCAAGGCTCTTGCTAAATACCAAAACACTGGCTGTGTTAAAGCAAAATATCAAATACAAAACAGTAAGGTATAGCAGTCCCTGGCCTCCGGAAGTTCAGTGGTATTTTGCCTGATATTAGAAGGGTCCAGAGAGTGTGCCCTATGGTACTAAAAAGCCAGCACCCAAGTCATGGAGGTTTGTAAGAGAGCTGCATAGGCTGGACTGAGGAATGAAGACTTGTTCTGCACTATTGCCAGTAAGGTGAGTGAGAGGAATTTCTAATAGAAGGTTGGAGCCAGGCTTATACACCATGCTAAAGAATAAAGCATTGTTTGCAAGCATGACAACCAGAGAATTTGTCTTAACTTTTACCCTGCAGGTAATTACAGTTTGTGGTTCTTAGCAGAAGACAAAGTATTCATCTTATTCATTAGGTAAGCAGTTGGACAGTATCAGAGAATTTGTTAGTATACCAAGAGAAAGTCTTTGAATGTCTGTACAGACAGGTGGATTAGAATAAAGATGACAGTAGGTCTGCATAGCAACACAAAACAAATGTTGTCTGTAGCTGTAATCGTCTGCAATCTCAGGACTCACAAAAAGGATAAGAAAACTTCTGCCTTTCTTCTTGGTCTAACAGGAAGAAAAAACCTATTCACCCACAGTGCTACAGAATACGCAAATTTTCACATGCTCCTCTATGAGCAAACACACTTATGGTTCAAAACCTTATTAAGAGGATTAGGATTTAAATGCAGTTAGCACATACCAGCTCTGTGATCTGGGACATATCAGTGTCTCTGATTCTCATTGATGATAATATCTAAATCCTTACTTAACAATATAATTACACAAGAATAAATAAGTTAATCCTAACAGGGATTTTTTTTTAACTAAAACAATGAATTTTGTTCTCAGCAATCCCTCATTCCTAGTGGTTGTCTGGCTGCTCACAAATTCAGAATCAAATCTAATGAGTCAAAACTTATTTTCCTCCATATTACAAAAAGAATACGCCATTCGCCCTACAAGGGCTGGGCCACAAGGCTTCCTTCCCTAAAGAAGAATATGTCATCAAGAGAGAATAGGAAGATGAAACAAAAAACCAATCCCTTGTGACACAGTGAACCATGGGAAGAAAAAGAAAGAGAAAGAAGAGGATGAAATTATTCAGTCCCATGTTCTAGCTTCCCCTGCCCTCAGGTCACCCCATGGCATCCTGAAAGGGAAGTCTGTCATGTAGGTGGAGGTAAAAACCCAATCAGAGAGGCTCTGGCTTTACTTCCTGGTTAGGACTCTGATAAACCACTCTTGCAAGATGCATCCCACAAAAACACAGGGTGATCATATCACAATAAATGTAGTTAGGCAGAGTGAAGGAGGAGGCTTGGCTGGCACTGCTAAGTCTTCCTCAGCAACCCCTGTGCAAGAAGAGATCCAGAAGTTCCTGCATTAAAGGTAGAGGGATGAAGGCCAGAAAACCAGGATAAGGTACAGCATGATGGATGGCAAGGTAAGCCTAACACAAAGTACACAGCCTTGCCAGGGCCTGGCCAGGACTCAAAAGGGTCTGCCTAGTTAATAAGAACTGGGGTGAGCTCGGCACAGTGGCTCACACCTGTAATCCCAACACTTTGGGAGGCTAAGGCAGGTGGATCGCTTGCACTCAGGAGTTCGAGACCAGTGTGGGCAGCATAGCGAGACCTCATCTCTACTAAAATTAAAAAAAAACAAAAAAAATAGCTAGTTGTGGTGGCCCACACCTGTAGTCCCAACTACTTGGGGGACTGAGGCAGGATGATCACTTGAGCCTGGGAAGTTGAGGCTGCAGTAATCCCTGATTGAGCCACTGCACTCCAACCTTAGTGACAGAGCAAGACCCTGTCTCAAAAACAAACAAACAAACAAACAAAAAAAACGGAAAAAAAAAAAAACACCTGAGGTGAGGCCAAGTTAGGAAGAAAAGAAGTGTGGACTCCAACCAGGCAAGTTCACCACATTTCCCTCCTCGTCAGACTCACTCTTATCCACTAGACTCAATAAAGAAACACAACCTCCTTCTTGGATTCTAATGCTGAGTCTTTCAATACACACAAAAATGGCAACATTTACATTTTAAAGAAACACAGAACCTGGAATGCATGCCGCTGGAGGATGGGCCCAGGAAGTCTCAGGTCAACATAGGAAATACAGACTATGGCAAAAGACAGCATTTTATGATCACCATAAAGGCACTTAGGCTGGTAGGTTAACCACTGGAAATAAAAAATTAAGTTAAACCTATATTTCAAAAATTCAATATGCCAAGCATGGTGGTGCACATCTATAGTCCCAGCTACTCAGGCGGCTGAGGCAGGAAGACCACCTGAGCCCAGAAGGTGGCGGTTGCAGTGAGCCGTGATGGCGCCACTGCAATCTAGCCTCGGCAACAGAGCGAGAGCCTGTCTCAGAAAATAAATAATTATTATTTATCTCTTCCTCAAAGGAGTGGGAATAGTGAAGGATCATGCATTCTTTCACTTAGAAAATATCGGTTTGTTAAGTGCCTACTATGTGCCAGCCCCCATGCTAGGAGGCAGGGATTCTATGGGGGGTGGTCTTTCTAAAAGCTAAAGAAAAACTGATTCAGTGGCTTGTGGATCCCCAAATTAGGAATTTCTGCCCTACGTAAAAATAAATTTTAGATGGAGTGTAGAAGATGAAGTCTCAGCTGATGACTAAAGGCAGAAATTATACAGGAAAAGAATGAGACTTAATTGCATATAAATGTGAAATTGACATATCCAAATATTCTGTAAATATTTCAGAGAAACAGAAGGTTGCACTCAGTCCTCAGAACTGAGGTGGGGCAAAAAGCAACACGACTTTGCTGAAGGGATGTCTGAATTAGAAATAAGGTAGAGCTAGCAGACCCAGAAGCTTGAAGACCAGCAGATGTAGGACAGACAATTCTCTTTTTTCATTAGCAAGGAGGACCTGACCCAGCATGAACTGAGATAAAGGAAGAGAAGAAGAGGACAGTCATCAAGGTGGCTGTGGGAAAGGAGATGCAGGAGGAGACAATGGCAGGAGAAATTAAGTCAAATTAAGTCTTTGTGGGCAGCAGGTAAAGCCTCCACTTCCTTCCTCCATCAGGGCAGCTGTTTCTGGATTGCTCTTTGTAACACAAGGATGTAAGGTAAGAACAGAAGCCCCCAGTGGCCCCACACCATTCACCCAGTCAGTGACTCAGGTTAAACTGGTGACTCCCTTTCTCCCCATCCCGTCCCCCTCGGTGCTGTAAACTGAAAACAAAACTCTGAGCCCCCCAATCAACTGAATGGACCCCTCCTCTTGGCTAAGGGGATTCAAAAGTAGACCTGAAAAACTAGTTCAGGCCATCATGGGAAGAAGGGGTTGAACATGCCTCATTATACTCTCTTCCCTTCAAAATTCAGGCACAAGTGACCAGCATTAACCTTAAAACAGAGATCTTAAGACAAAACAGACGCTTTGTGGCAATAAGATACCAAATTCCAACCTGACTCTAGTATAGCATTACATGACAGATAGCAGGCCCTGAAAGAAATTAAAGTATTTTACCCTAAAATGTATCTCTTTGACATATTTTGAAATGACCCTGCAAAGCTGTCTCTTGCAGGGGAAATTTACATTCTGTAGAGAATCCCCTTCCCTTTCCAGGTCCTTTTCTGATCTTGAAGAGATTGGCTGAGAGTTGAGCACCTTTTAAAGGTCTGAAGAGGATATATTTGCCATCTATTGCCTCTAAGAGCAGCCACTTCATCTACATAATAAGAACCTTGGTCTCTACAACCCCTTCTCTTAACCCAGACATTCCTTTCTATCGATTCTAGGTCTTTAGATAATAACTCTTTTCCCAATAGTTAATCAGAAAATCTTGAAATCCACCTATGACCTGTAAGCCCCCACTTCAAGTTGTCCTGCCTTTCCAGACCAAACCAATGTATAACTCATGTGCATTCATTGATGTGTTATATCTCCTTGAGGTATAAAACCAAGCTATAACCTAATGAACACAGGTTCTCAGGACCTCTTGAGACTGTGTCTTGGGTGTTGGTCATTCATATTTGGCTCAGAATAAACCTCTTTAAATATTTTACAGAGTTTATTTTCATCAACTGTGACACAGACTGAACCATTCCCATCACTCCCTGAACCATTTCCCTTTCTAGGGGTCAGTATGTAAGCCATAGTCATTCTCAGGTACCCCGAAATTCCAGATCCTGTCCCACAAGCCCCATACTCCAGATCACGAAGGAGAAATCTGCTTCAGTTCCATTTCACTAGAGAGACAGTAGAAGGGAGTGATCAAGAGCACAGACTCAAGAGCCATGTGCTTGGATTCAAATCGCAGCTCCACCACTCACTTGCTGTGTGATCTGAGGAGAGTTACTCCACTTCTCTATGCCTCAGTTTCATCACCTGTAGAGTGGCAAAAATAATAGTATCTACTTCACAGGGGTTTTGTAAAGATTAAATACATTGAATATATAAAAGAAATTAGAACTGTCCTTGCAGAAGTGGGAACAAGCCGTGTGGGAGGATTTTTTTTCTGAATAAATTATACTTGAGTGTGTGTGCGTGCACAAACACAGGGACAGACATTTTCAAAGCTGTAATAGCTCAAGTACCTTCTAATTGATTTTGAGATGTTATCTGATCTTATTACAGGATCAGATAATTTTACTTTCCAAAGGTGGTGAATATTTTAGATGAATTAGACTTGTTCTTAATATTTGTCCATTTCCCCGGATTATCTGTAATTACAGTAACTACTTCATAGGATACAAAATTTCAGTTAGAAGGAGTAAATTCAAGAGATCTGTCATATAATACGGTGACTAAAGTAAACAACAATGCATTGAAAATTGCTAGGAGAATTTTGTTTAAATCTGCAAAAAACTTCTCACTAAATTATTTGATATTGGAAAACAGTTACTTTTTCAGAAAAAAATGTTATATTAACATCTAATGGGCTTAATGTTATTTTAAATGAATTTAAAACATTGTTTAAAAATAACTGTCCTGGCAGAACGTAAGCATTATGTGTTCTTCGCGCTGCTGCTGCTGCTATTGCTGTTATTATTACGATTATTATTACTAGAGTTTGGGCTATTCTGAGGATGTGTTTTAGAAGGGCTTCTCTCCCAGCCTTGCATCCAGTTCCTCATCTTCCTCTGTAAGGCATTAGGATATCTCCTTTCAGCACCCCCCTCAGAAAAATCCTACCCCCAAAGATAAACAGTTGCCAAACTCCTCTCTCCTAGCCAAGTCTGAATTGAATCCCTTTTTCTTCCTTTACATTTGTAACTTTCTCCCTCATCTCTTATCTAGGATGTGGCACAACATCTGATAAAATAATGACAGTCATAAAGTAAGAAAGGCAAACACTCTTCTTTCTAGATTCCTTACAAGGCAAAGCCATTCTCAAATAAATTGCGGCAGATGTGATATGTTGGCATGTCACGTATTAATACTTAATGAGAAAAACAGGGAGATGACAGTGGAGTATCAACAAGCAGTCATGGTACAGTACACCTACAGCCACATGTCACCACATGCTGCAGAGAGAAGCCGCTCAGCTGCCAGACCTAAATACTTGGAAATCTTGCTCTTAAGACCTGGTGATCAAAATTTCAGAAGAGTGACCACCTGTCCATTCAGCATAGCTTTCCACTGAATGCTGGGCACTGAGGAGGGTGCTACGGTTACAGCATTAAACAAGAATAAGACATGATCACTGCCTTCAAAGGGCTTATATGCTGATGGGTTGCAACCAAGTAGAGTGTGACTATTACCATGAAAGGTACAGGGTTCCAGCTCCATTAGGAATTGGATACCATTTATAGTATCTCCATCTTACAGAGAAGGAAACGAAGGCACAGAGAGGTCATCAGCTAGTAAGTAGTGGAGCCAGGATTCAAACCCAGGCAGTTCAGGCTCTAGATCTGTGGCCTCAAACACTATGTTCTGGTGACTGGTGATCAACATCTTCCATCTGAAAATGTCTGGTGCTTCTTACATCAGATTGCTTCTTACTCTAAAACTCATCCAAGAGCTTGTCAATAGTAAAGGCACCCAAAAAAAATCTTCCACACAGGGAGAAAATGGAGAAGAGGACACACTATCTGTGAAGCAAAAATAAATCCAGGAAGCGAAACATAATGATGGTTCGTAAAATTTGCTTTAACTTGATAGTCCCTTTCCACTTTGATCTATGGAAGTCTATGTTTGAAGGAAAAGGAAAGGGGATTTTAAAATATGAATGTTACAAGAAAGAAAATATCTTTTGAGTTTGTTGAGATGGGACTATGAGAGAGGGGGATTGACTAAGGTAGGTACCTAAAATGTGAGGTAATATAAATGTCTAGTGGCTGGAAACTGCTTGCAAAGCTATATGAACGAATAAGAGCTCTGTGAGCAGTGAGGGAGAGGTCATACTGGGGCAGATTCAGGGGACTCCCATGCGTCTAATTTGAAATCCGTCTTTCACCTTTTGTCACTCACCTCTTCTACCTTCCATCTACTTCAACACTTAGCACCCTATCGGGTCTTTCTTTTCTGAGAAATTAAAAAACAAACAAATGGTGGGTCTGGGCACAGTGTCTCATGCCTGTAATCCCAGCACTTTGGGAGGCCAAGGTGAGAGGATTGCTTGAGGCCAGGAGTTCAAGACCAGTCTGGCCAAAACAGTAGAGACCCTTCCTCTACAAAAAATTTAAAAATTAGCCAGGTGTGGGGAGAAAAGGAGGGAGTGCATTAGGACAAATACCTAATGCATGCGGAACTTAAAACCTAGAAGTCGGGTTGATAGTTGCAGCAAACCACCATGGTACATGTATACCTATATAACAAACCTGCACATTCAGCACATGTATCCCAGAACTTTAAAAAAAAAAATTGGCTGTGTATGGTGGTGTGTGCCTCTGGTCACAGCTACTTGGGAAGCTGAGGCAGGAGGATCACCTGAGCCCAGGAGGTAGAGGCCACTATGAGCTATAATCACAAAACTGCATTCCAGCCTGGGTGACAGAGCGAGACACTGTCTCATAAATAAAACCACAAACGAACAAATGGCATAAATTTTACTCTATTTGTAATGATTATTAATCATTATTTATATAATTATGTAATGATCAGTTAATCATTTATATTTTGGTATCTCTGCAGCATGCCTGCCGTGTATCCAGTGCTTTAGTACATGATCTTACCTAACCCTTACAACAATCCAGTGAGATGAGTACTATGATCAGCCCCATTTTAATGCCTCAAGAAACTGAGGAATAAGGAGATTTGTCGGGGTGGATGTACTTTAGCACAGGGATCCTGGTGGTCATCTCCCTTCAATGTGGCTGGGGCTAACAGACAAGTAGAGGGGAACACAGGCATCATCTAGTGACAAGATGGTGTTCCTAGTTTTCATCTAACACCTCAGTCCTCCTCTCACATAAGGAAACAGACAAAAATGACAAGACCAAGGCCACTCCTCTGAAGGTCCAGCCCATACTGCTTCCACCATAGTCTCTATCTCAGAATCATCACATCTCCGGTGCAGAGCTGAAATTGAGCCTTTCATCAGCCAGTCCCATCACTGCTCACTTCCTCCCTACCCGGCCCATTAGCAGGAGGACCTCTCAGTCACCTCTGGCTTTGTTTGATTTTCAAGCAAAGAAAAAGTACTAAGAAACTACCACTTCCTGAGGACCTACTATACGCCAGGCTCGCTCAATCCTCATAGCACCCCTATGAGGCAAAGTAGTAGTATTCTCCTCAGAGATTAAAAGATTGGCCCAGAGAATTTAAATTATTTGTCCAAAGTCACATAACTAGTAGGTAGCCAGCGCTTAGTCACTAGACTGCTGCCAAAAAAAAAGCAGTATTTTATTAACAGCACCTATTTGACCTTTTCTTCTTTATGCTCACCCTATTCCAGCCTTCTACCCAACAATCCCAGTAGACATGATAATATACTTCACCAACTCCAGGACCACCATCCTGTCCTGCAACTGGTGGTTAAGCATGATTCAAAGGCAGTACTAATGCAAAGCCAGCAGTTTGTAGAACTGATTTATCATCTAACATGCTGAACCAACTCTCTACCTAGGGACCTAAATTATTCTATTGACCTAAAAGCCCATGCAATCAATGCCTCACTAAAAGAAGGTGCTCAGATTCCTCCTCATTCTCAGCCTAAAGATACTCCTATATATTAAGGTCTAGCAGCCACCAACAGCACCCAGATCCCCCTGGGATAAGCAATCATGCATGAGTTTGCCTCTGAACACCTGAAAGCATCATAATTCAAGAAATGCAGAGGGCAAGCTGTGCAGGATTCCTGAAATAATTGAAACTGACCCACAACTCACCAGCCACCATGGGAAATTCTATCGCTTTGCTTCCATAGCTAGAAATCAAATCACGAAAATAGGATCAGGTCTCTAATTTGGAGTCTTAGACATACAACGTCATCTTTAATGACTCCTGGCAAAAAATGCTCATTACAGATCTCAGCCCATCTAAATTAAAACGTGAAATCCAAAAATTAAGCAGAAAATTATCAATTTCTCAGGTCCATAAGACCCCAGAAAAATCATGCAAGCGGGAATACACGTACTCCTTGGAGTCTTGTTATATCTGTAAATAATCTGAGCAGAAATTATATGAAAAAGAAGATTTAAGAGGAAAGAAAAACAAACCCATCAGGTTCTAACTTTCAGGTTTGGGCCTTCTTGGTGAATTGCAATTTTTCACAGTCAATTTGAACTAGCATGGCAAGGAAGATTTTCTCTCTGGTAATGGCCAATTTTATCTGTTCTCTGTAGAGCTCATATTCCTCTGATACGGCAGGCTGCTGACTTCAAGTCTCTCAATGCTAAGTAGGCTGAAAGATGATGCAATCAGTCAACATGGTGTTCAGGAGGGTATGGCTCCATTAAAATGGGGGGTGGCTAAATATTCCTCTATCAGCAGTTCTAAACCTCATTCAGCGTAGATCTTTGAGAAGTTCAGGTAAGCATTAAGTCATCTCTGGAGATTGTTTTCACATTTCTTCCCTCCACTTCCCATCCACCATGCCCTTTATGTCACCATGTGAATAGCTGACATGACCCAGCAGAATAATTTGCATCACCAGCATTCACATCTGCTCATGATTAAATTTGTCTCAAACCTAAATCTAGGAAGAGAGCCATTCCCTGTCTGCAGCAATACTTCAACAGATGGCCCAGAAAAAGTAAGGTTAGCTGTTAATAGAAATTACAAATTCAAAACCTAGTTTCCTTTAACAAGCATTCTTAAAGAGAAAAGTTAGAGAATGAGACCAGGACCAGTGTCAGGGTTATGCCACCAGATACTGAACATGAAACATGGTCAACCTCCTCCTACTAGTAAAGGAGCATCTGCAAATCACACAAAAGAGACACTCTAATTGTTATTCTTTTTTTTCAATTAAAAAACTACTTCTGAGTCTTACATTGTACACTGCCTCAGAAAAAGTTCATCTCCATACCTAAATTTAACTACTTAGTATGGAATGGCCATTCTGTACAAAGACCTGTGTGTTTCTAAGTATAATTAGTAGCCTGGAAAATCCTTCAAGAAACCTAAAAATGTGGAGTGGAAAACCTACACCTATGCATGCTAAAGAAGCTAGGATAAAAGTCTAGGTCACTCCCAGGAAAGGCCCTCTTTGTTACTTTGTCACATGCCCTCAGAAACACCTCTTTTTAGAACGACATCATTCCAAGGGGTCACCCCAGAGCTTCCTCCTCAGATTAACTTTTCATTACTACTCTTTTGTCCACATTTGTCTTAAATGAGGGAGAGGAGAGACTGTTTCAGCAGCCTGGGGTCTCAACTATATGAGTCTAGTTCTAATCAAGACAGTGACAAAGGTCTTGACAGACATGTTCTCTCCACCTCTGTGGTTGATATAGAACTGAAGGTCTTCCTTGGACAAAAAAAAAATTATTAAAATAAAGGACAAGACAATCATTTTGAATATGAAATATAGTCAACTGCCGAAACTGCCTCTGGTGACACAGTGGGTTGGTATTTATGGACATGGACCCAGAAACCAGCATGTGTGCCAGGGAGTTATGGTTTTATCATGCCAGCCAATATGGGAGAAGCCTTTTAGGGGTATGTGCTTCCCAAGAAATGCAAGAGTACAAGCATTCACACTGAGTAGGCAGAGGGACTGTGCAAGGTTCACACCAGACACTTGTGACATGTTCCCAAATCATGCTGGGTCCCAACCCATTGACTCAGTAAGTGACTTTGATGAGTAAATCAAAAGTTAACAGAACCTTCCAACCAGGGTCACCTTTTCAACAAAAACCACTCCCTGGCCTTCTAGTTAGAGAGCACCTCTTTGCCAACATTCCGCAATCTTGCCATGAAAACAGGGCAACGTGTGATATTTGATGAAGTAAGGACAAATCAGAGTAACTACTCAACATTCCTTGCAATGTCATTACCTTCAAAAGAAACCCCACCTTTTGAAGGGTTTCTTTCAAAAAGAAACCTTGCAATTCCTTCCTTGAATTCCTTGCAATTCCTTGCAATTGCAATTCCTTGCAATTCCTTGCGATTCCTTGCAATTCATTCCTTGCGATTCCTTGCGATTCCTTGCAATTCCTTGCAATTCATTCCTTGCAATTCCTTGCAATTCATTCCTTGCAATTCCTTGCAATTCATTCCTTGCAATTCCTTGCAATTCATTCCTTGCAATTCCTTGCAATTCATTCCTTGCAATTCCTTGCAATTCATTCCTTGCAATTCCTTGCAATTCATTCCTTGCAATTCCTTGCAATTCATTCCTTGCAATTCCTTGCAATTCATTCCTTGCAATTCCTTGCAATTCATTCCTTGCAATTCCTTGCAATAACCATATGAAATTTCTTACTCCAAGAAGCAAACTAGACCAAAAATAAAATGTATTTAGAGAGGCTTTGATAAATTCAGCATCTGTAATAAGTTACTATGAAAAATCAGGATGTTGAGTGCTAACTACCTCCTTTTGAATGGCAACATTAGATATGGCAGTATTTATTGAGCTCTTCCCCTACCTGTGTCTTGGTTTTTTTGCCTATAGAGATGAAATTTAAGAATGAATAAGCCTGTGATCCCAACTACTGGGGGGCTGAGGCGGAAGGATCTAGCCCAGAGTTTGAGACTAGCCTGGGAAACATAGTGAGAACTTGTCTCAAAAATTAAAAAATAAAAAGGAATGAGCCACATGAATAAGGCACCGACTCCTATGGTTGTGCCAGTGCTGACCCTGAGGTTCTTCCATTAGGTTTTCAATTGCAAACTCAATCCTGTCACTTGTTACACTCTGGAAGCGATAAGAGGAACACAGCAACAAGTCCATCACGTAGAAAACAACAATCTGAAATGGCAGGGGGACTAAGGAAAAGAGACTCCACACCAACCATAAGACTATGGGTCAAAATCTAGAAAAGAAAGAAAATTTCAGAAAAAAGTATCTATCATGTCCACAGAGCATAGGAATAACACAAGTGTTAAAGCTAACATTTGTAAACATCTATTATATACCACCTGCTCTACATGCATTAGGTTATTTAATCTTCAAAACAACTCCTGGAGACAGGGATTATCTTTACTACTGTTTAAGAGATAAGAAAAATGAAACTTAGATTTAGTAAATAGTATACTGCAACACTGGCCTAACCTCCTATCCTGAGTCTATTTTTCTTAACAGTCTCACATACACTGATGTCATTTTCAAGAAAAAGAGAAAGCAATTAAATAAATCAAGATACAGTAGCCTTTCCCAGGTTAGTAAGAAACCACTTCAAACATAACCCTTTGTGCATCGGTACACAGACTCAGAAAGAAACTTTCTTATCTCACCTATCTACACAGACTAATCATAATTGTGAGAGACCCAGAAAGCATGGATTAGTCATCCTGTTAGTAGGATGAAGAAATGGATGCCAAATGCAGCTTGAGTGAGAGACAGGGAGAGGATAGTAGCCCGAACCCTTTGAGGCCGGCCCAGCCATGCTCCTCCCACTGGACATGCCTGACCAACTTTAGCAATCCCAGCGCCTGACCTCCACATCCCGGTGAAACTGAACATGGTGCTCACGCAGCGGGGGAGGGCGGGTGGAGTGAGTCCATCCAGGCGCATGAGCAGAGCAGGCACGCCAAAGAGCACCAAGTACTTCACGTAGAAAAAGAGCACCTGGGCTAACGCCAGTCCTCCTGAAAGGCAAACAGACCAGTCAGACACATGGAAGAGAATCACAGCAGTTTCCTGGAGGAGACCAACACCCCAGGAGCTATGCCAACTGCCCCGCTTCTCCCCACACCCCTTCCTCCCTTCAACTCGCACATTTCACAAAAGTATTCCACACTGGTTTTATTCAATGAAATTTTTTGGTTAACAAACAATGAAATTTCATTATTGTGACAGGCAAGAGGACCTCTTAGGAGTCATGCTTTTACAGATGCTAGGAAAGAGAATGCCCAAAATGTGTACATTGCATTAAAAAACTATTACGAAGGGGAAAATCCTTCCCAAAATCTTTTAAAACCTACATGATAATGGGTACAAAAAAAAAAAGAATAAGTTCTAGTATTTGACCGAATAACAGGGTAACTTTAGTCAATAATTAAATACACATTTTAAAATAACTAGAAGAATACAATTGGGTTATTTGTAACACAAAAGATAAACGCTTGAGGTATCAGATACCCTATTTACCCTGATGTGATTATTACACACTGAATGCCTGTATCAATTATTATGCATCGTATGCCTGTTTGCTGTATCTCACACACCTCATACATATACACATCTACTATGCACCCACAAAATTTAACAGTTAAAAAAGAAAATCTACATGAGTCTGCACCCATTAGGATAACTAGAATCGAAAAGTCAGATCAGCAAGTGTTGATGAAGATCTGGAGAAACTGGAACCACCAGGCACAGCTGCTGAGAGTGTAGAGCGAGGCAGCTGCTTTGGAAAACAGTCTGGTGGTTCCCCAAATGATTAAGCAGAGTTACATATGATCCAGCAATTCCACTCCTTGTCATATAACCAAGAGAAATGAAATGTTCACACAAAACATATGTTCACACAAAAACTTGTACCCCGATGTACACAGCAGCATTATTCACAATAGCCAAAAGAGGAGACCACCTAAACATCTGTCAACAAATGCATGGATAGACACAATGTGGTCTGTCCATACAATAGACCATAAAAAGGAATGAAATACTGATAAATGCCAAATGTGGATGAACCCTGAAAACATGAAGCTAAGTGAAACAAGCCAGTCACAAAATACCACATATTGTATTATTCCATTCATATGAAAGCCCAGAATAGGGAAATCTATAGAGACAAAGTAGACTAGTGGTTTCTTGGGGAGAGAGGGCAGCAATGAATAAAAGGTGGGGTTTCTTTTGAAGGCAATGAAAATATTCTAAAACTGGTGGTGGTGATAGGTGAATCATATCTGTAGATATACTAAAAGTCACTGAACTGTACACTTTAAATGGGTGGATTTTATGGTATGTGAGCTATCTTCCAATAAAGCTCTTTAAAAAAAAAAAAAAAAGGAAAACTCACATGAAGGCCTGAGGTCTAGTGGGGTAAGGAGGCAGTGGGTCTGCCACAGCAGTGCCCACAAGAAGGCCACAGGCCAAGCCTAGAAGGAACCTCCAGGGGAGACGATAAATGGCCACATGCTCTCTCACCTCAAGATTGCCCGCCCCACTGTGCAGAAAATTACTGCAGGACATGTCGATGTGGCAGACCAGGTTATCTTCTGGGATATTCTGAAGGAAATAACCAAGCTTCAGAGAGGTACTAGCAGAAAATACCACTGTCTGACCTCCTTGATGCTACACTAGGATCTTTGAAAGAATGTCACCATTATCGAGTGTGTGGCTATAAATGGTAACCCTGGTGCCAGAGGAAAAACATAAGCCACTTTCTGAATATACAGTTTGGGTGATGGCAGATGGTGGTTCAAATGTGAAAGCCATACATCCTACAAGGAGAAACCCCCAGGAACCGCTGCGTCTTGTTCCCATTCAGAAGTGATCAAACAGGTTCTTCAGACTTTTGGAAATCAGACTACAGTCATACCTGCTGGAAGGGCTAGGAATAAACTTTCAGCATTCTTGGACGTGCCTGATAAAGAGTCAGGAAAAAATCTGATTTGTGTGTGTGTGTGAATATATATACATGTGAATACTATCATAAAATACTTGAAGGGCATGTGATCACTCTGGGTGATAAATCAGTTTCACTGGCTGAGATGGCAATGAGGGAGGCTCGCAACTCATGCAAAATGAACCACTAGGCTCTAGCCAGAAAAATTCCACAACTAGAGATGGCAGGACATAAAAGTAAGAATGACTGATTAAAGCGCACAATGCTTCCAGAGCTGAAAATGATCCACCTGAAGAACTGAAGGTATCAATGGACCTATGGAAGACTATGCATGGTTAAGGCCGTGCCAAGCTCTTGCCTATATGAAGCACCACAGACTTCTCCCTGCTAACAGGATGCCAAATCAGGAAAAATGGGTTGCTTCATGTCTCAAGTATTGCTTTATTTTTCACATTATTTTTGTACAGTTGTCAGATTCAAGGCATATAAATTAAAATCTATGGCTGAGTCTACATTTTTATGAGTCATTATTTGCACAAAATATTCACTATTTGTTAGTACTTTCATACAGAACTGGGCAAAGGAAAAGATTGATTTTGCATAGACGATTAATAAACTCTACTGCTAAATATAATTAAAGATAAGGTAATTGGGCTTGATTTTGGGGTTTTTTTAAACCACTATGTGAATGGAAAGCACAAGAAGTCATACAAGTGCTCTATTTTCCTGTCACTGAATATTTCTTACGGCTTAAGATATGAAAGGCTTAAATAGATTTTTTTTCCTTGAAATTTTAATATCTGGTTTACAAGCTTATAGAAAAGACACAAGATTTTTAAAGCATTATTAAATTTAAAGATTAAATTACAAATAGTAATTTGTGTTAATTTTCTTTAAAAATTGTGTTTGTACCATGGATTTCACTACTCTGCTGTCTTGCTGTTGATTTTCATTATCCCTTTGAAAAATGCATGGCTCAGCCAGGCACGGTGGCTCACGCCTGTAGTCCCAGCACTTTGGGAGGCTGAGGCAGGCAGATCACAAAAGGCCAGGAGATCGAGACCATCCTGGCCAACATGGTGAAGCCCCAACTCTACTAAGTAAACACAAAAAATTTGTCGGGCATGGTGGTGCACGCTTCTAGTCCCAGCTACTCAGGAGGCTGAGGCAGGGGAATCGCTTGAACCTGGGAGGCAGAGATTGCAGCGAGCCAAGATCATGCCACTGCACTCCAGCCTGGTGACAGGGTGAGACTCTGTCTCAAAAAAGAAAAAAGAAAAATGCATGGCTCATTCTTCTTTCCCCTTGACCTAAAAATTAGTCTCTTTCCCTTTTAAGATTTGGTCTAAGTTTCAGGGTTGACCCTAAATATTTTGCCGCATTCTCTTGGGCATACAATGGGCAGGAAGGCAACATAAGACTATAAATGACTCTACTCTGATTGCAAGTTATGTGACAAATTGAACTAGCTTTTGTTATGCTCAAAAATATTACATTTTACTATTTTTCAATACTTTAACAAATATTTCTGGGTTTGTATGTATAAGATTTTCTCAATTAGCAAGAGTTATTATTGATTTTATCTAACCCAACTGCTTCCCCACAAAAAAAGCCATATATGAGTTCATGTATTACACACTCTTTTGACATTCATTCATTCAACAAGCATGTGCAGAGGGTACGGCAAATGGAATCACCAGTTATGTCCTATGAGAAATAGACTAGAGGTCAAATCGGGTGGGACCTAGCTTCAGGGGACTCATAGTTTCACTGCAGTCTCATTTATCCTTCTCTTTTACCACACAGTATTTTCTTCTGCCTTTGTGCTCTACCCCTCCTTCTTTTCTTGGCAAAATACTATGTATCCTTCAGATCCCAGCTCAAATATGGTCTCATCTCATTCACTTAACATACAGTTATTGAACATCAGCTCCTTGCCAGGCACTGAGCAATATGGTGGTGAATAAAAAGGCATGCTAACAGCCCTTATAGAGTGTTACGGTCTGTTAAAAGAGAAAAGAATGTAAATTAGGAATGAGATTAATACCCACACCCCGAGGACAGGCAACAACCTAAACGCAGAGGAACAGACACCATTCATTGAACATTTAACAAACATTCATTGTGTACATACGTGCCAAGCATGGTTCTAGGTGCTTGGAATGCATCAGTGGGTACACCTGCTTTCATGGGGCTTATACCCTAGCAAGAGTCAACAAAAAATAGGCATAAAAATAAACTTTATATTAACTTAGGAAGTATGACAGAATGACTTCCCAACAATGGCTGCAACTGTATCTTTCATCCCATATGGTCTTCTGCAATGTGACCTTGCCACTCCCCCAGCAAGAGTAAATCTGGGCAGGTCCTAGGACCAATAGATATAGAAGAAGTGATGCTGTCCTAATTCCAAAGGTGGTCTGCCATTGGCCTGGCACCTTCCACTTCCTACCCCTTGGAATGCTCAATCTTTGAACACTATCTCTTAGAACCCAGTTGTCATATAAAGAAGCCCAAGCCACACGGAGTGGCCACATGAAGATGTTCTGGTGAACAGCATCAGCTGAGCTCCCAGCTGACAGCAGCCTCAATAGCCAGCCATGTGAGAAAACCTCTTGGACATCCCGCCCAGTTACACCTTTGAAAGATGGCAACCCTGGCTGATGTCTGACTGCAACTATAGGAGAGATCCCAAGCAAGAACTACCCAGCCAAGTACAGTCAACCAACAGAACAGGGAGACAGAGGCAATCATTGTTTTAAGCTAGTAAGTTTGTAGATGGTTTGTTATTCAGCGACAGCCAACTGGGACAGAGGACAATAAATGCAATGGAAAAAGCAAAACTGTAGAACAGGGTGAGGGAGCTCAGAACTGTTGAGGTGGCAGATGCTGCCCTTTTTAAAAGGAGAGTTGGGGTGGTCTTCATCCAAATGAGAACATTTGAGCAAAAACTTGAAGGGGGTGAAGAGGTCAGCTATGCAGCCACCCTGCTTCCTCTTGGGCTCTCATCATACTCCCTTATGATCTGTCCTCTCTCATCATACTTCCTTCTTATGATCTGTCTGTCCTTATCCTATCAGACCACAGTTGTACACATGTGTGTACAGCTTAAGACCGTAGGTTCCTTAAGATCAGGAGTGGTGTCTTATACCTCTTGCATTCCCAGCACTTAATATCTGCCATATGGTTGATGTTTGATAAGCATTTCCTTAAGAAGTAACTGAATGAATAATTCACCTTATACCGCAGTAGGAAGACGAACTGTATCACAGTACTTCCGGGAAGTGTATACAGTCAGCTCTGAGGATTTTTAAGTCTCTACTGAAGTTCAGACCTGCCACCAAATCAACGAGTCTTCTGTAGGTTTGGGACCTTGTATTCCCAGTATCAAGAACATTGGTAAAAAGGAGAGAAAGAAGTCCTAGCACTAGGTTAGGTACTGCCTTGAAGTTACTAAATGTGTAGTTAATTCTGCCTAACAACGGGCCACTTCCAAACGGGCCATCTTAAACTCAGCTCATCAAAAACAGAATTTAGCTTCTCCCCCTGAAAACTATAAATGGCACAGATTTTCAAGACAAAAGGAGATGAATGTCAAATTCTACAAGACTTCTAGGAGGGCTAGAGAAAAGATCCCAACTAGCTCCCCTAGAATTTAGTCCTTCCCAGATTGACATACATACCTACCCAGCCCTTCTTTGTGTTTAATCTTGCCTTGTCATAATTTTAACTAAAAATGAAGAAGCTAGTGATTGGATCCCATGTGGCTGATCACCCTCCTCTCAGCTCTATTCCACAAATGAGCGGCTAAAAATCTCACGCTGAAAGGTGGAGGGAATGGGAAGGAGAAGCCAAGGCCAAGCCCAATCTATTTTTCCTGCCCTGACATTCCTGTCCTCATTGAACCACTCATTTTATCCAATTATTCCCTTCACTTTCTCTTTGCTCACACTCAATTTCTCTGCCTAGAGGTCCCCTTCCTCCATTTTGTCTGTCAAAACTCTACCCTTAAGGGTAGAGTTACCCTTAAAGTGCCATTACCCATCTAAGTGCCATATTTCTTAAAGTTTTTCTAACTGCCCCAGCTAAAATAGTCACATGGTACTTTCCAAGTACATAATGTGGTTCAGCTTTCTGTATAGTCTAGTTATCTATAAGATCGGAAGGGCAATGATCACAGCTTTCTTCTTTAATTTCATCTCCTTAGCACCAACCAGTGCCTGGCACATAACACAAAACAAGCAATGAGTATTTGCTGAACAAATGAATGGAATGAAAGAATGAATGCACTTTCATGTATATTATCCCACTGTTAATTTTTACTACCCTATCCCACAAGTATTGCCCCCATATATCATATTAGAAAGCAAAGATTGATTAGGATTAAGTGACCTTCACAAGCCTCAGAGTCAATCCACACTTGGGACTTTAACCCAGGTCTCTTGGCTCCAAAATCAATGGCATCTTCTCCAAAGGCCATGCTTCCAAAAGTACCTTCTCTACATATAAATTTTTAGATTTTTAAAAAATGTTTTACTTATATGATTTCAATTCTAGTATTCTATTATCTGTATCACACATGAGGAAGTGCAACTAACATTTCTACTACTCATTACCTTACAGGTCTTTTTGTACTTGCTGATATTGTCTGCCAGATTACAGGATGCCCAAAGCCCATCCCCACATGGCTGAACATCAGGACCTCCAAGCAACAGGCACACAACACAGAGTAGCATGTCCAGTGAACCTTGTTAATGATCAGAAGATCTTCCCGGGGGTAAACACAAGGGTCTGAGTAGTATGAGATCACCTTTTGAATTGTTAATTCCCCCACAGACCTGGAGAACAACTCACCAACTGCCTCATGAAAATTCATGAGCAACAGAAAGAATCCAGTTGTGTCTTGTGCCAGCGTTTGCCAGGATTGGAGAGAGGTGCCCCTTAGCTCTGTGGGCTGGCTGCAGAGCTGCCATCTTTGCATGTTTGACCCCTGCCTTCCGAATCTCATCGTGTGTGTCAGGCACTGGCTCCCAATTCCCTCAGCTTCAGGAAGCATGCTCTATCTGCGTGTACCAGCTTATGCCCCTGTGTCAGTCCGTGGCCTGACCTCTCGTCTGGACATTTTCTGTTCCAAGTCCCTCTAATAACTTTTACTTTGTCCACATCAAACCTACTCTAGATTTTGCTTAACTTTTTTTTGTGATTAAAGCTTTGTAGCTTCAAGAAGCTTAGACTTTTTTTTAATAAGTTTTTTCTCATATGAGG